>NC_000023.11:32889271-33039628 GCF_000001405.40 Homo sapiens | reverse complement strand
TAATAAAAATGTATTGAGGACCTGTTATCTGTGAATCACCCAATGGGAAAAGTCATGAAAAGCTGAAGAAAACACTTCATTGTATTTCAGAGCTTTTAATTTAAAGGTGAAGAAAAAAGGTGACTCAAAAGCATTTTGTATATTCAGAATCCATTTGTGAAACCTAATTTGTGATGTTGAAACTGAGATTTGGCACACTGTCCAAAATTGCATTCAAAAGTGTAGAACCTGCTGTCCTGGCCTTTTTGTTTTGTTTGTTTGTTTGGTGGGGTGGGGTGGGGTGGGCGTAGGAAGGAAAAAGAAAAGATAAGGAGTGTGGTATTGACTGATAGTTTATTCTCAAGTGCAGTCACCAGGGAGTTCGAACTGACTTCTACTTTTGAAGTTGAAACATGGAAGCAGGGCTCCAAAATTTTGTATCTCATTGAAGTAACTTAGAATACTCACACTTTTATGAATGATTGAGATACTTCCTAAAAATTTAAACCATGATATCTCCAACAACGGAAAAGAGGGAATATGAAACCCCCATAGGCTACGGGTGTCAATCAAAATAGTCTTCGGAGAAATGAAATGTTTTCTTCATTTACTATAAAATTGAAGAAAAAATTTCATTTTTCTTTTTTTTCTTTTTTGAGACGAAGCCTCGCTCTGTCACCCAGGCTGGAGTGCAGTGACGCGATCTTGGCTCACTGCAACTTCTGCCTCCTGGGTTCATGCGATTCTCCTGCCTGAGACTTGCGAGTAGCTGGGATTACAGGTGCATGCCACCATGCCCGGCTAATTTTTGTGTTTTTTAGTAGAGACGGGGTTTCGCCATGTTGGCCAAGCTGGTCTCGAACTCCTGACCTCAAGTGATTCACCCACCTCAGCTCCTAGAGTGCTGGGATTACAGATGTGAGTCACCGTGCCCAGCCAAAAGGTTCATTTCTCAAGTTTTACAAAACTTTTCAGTCAAAATTCACATATCTACTGTCACATAATTCATACTCAATTACATTCCTTCAAAAATGCTCTCACACAAAGTTTGAACACATCGAGGCAGGTGGTTTGAAACATCCATCCCAAAGTTGAGCTGGGAGTCAAGGTGACAAGAATGGCCCATGAGCAGTGAGATGTCTACCAATGCCGGGCTCCGGGGCAAACAACTAACATTAAGTGCAAAGGATTAAACTTGTTAATTAGGAGAAAATAAAAGCAGGCATTTGCTTATTTTATTATTGAGTTTATATTAATAGTAATCACTTCCATTCATATTAGATGCAAAGGAACTTTTAATATTCTATGCACTGACTTAAACTTATTTCTTAATCCCTTTCATCTCCTTATAATGATGCATATGAGATTATTGGAGGTTTGGAGGTATGCACTAATGCAAAGTGATGAGCTGTAACCAAAAAGTAACCAAGAAAATAAAATCACAATTTCATGCATGTATTTATATTTGTCTTCTATGGCAAACCATGGGGATATTGAAATATGAAATTTCAAATACCCTCTTTATTATGTTAGATGCATTATTTTTAACAATAGAAGCCTTAAATAAAATATTAAGATACATTTGTATTTTGACACTTAACTGCCCTTGGCATTGTGCATTTAAACTTTTGGTGTCTAGCAAAGTTAAAGGGAGACTGTCTTTAAATACATATATATTGATAGTGCCATTTTGTTAGACATGTCATCTTTCGAATGTAATGATATTGTTCACACATTGATTTTATTGATGATGTTAAATCAAAATGGTTTCTGCAATTAGTAACTTCTATAAAACAAACATATTAAAAGGAAATCATACTTCCTATTGTAGTATACCAATTTATTTTTCCATTTAGGAATAGCTATGCTCCCTCTCATGTTTTGTTTTGTATACCTTACTAAATTAAATATTCATTTTATTCTTTACCAGTTTCCATCACAGACACAATCAGTATTATTTAAATTTCAGCAAGAAACTAAACAAGACTTACAAGTTTTTCAGTGCTAATGATTTTTTTTTCTCATTAAGTCTGAGTCTAATGAAACTAAACAGAAAGTTCTGGTTGGATTCCTTGGTCACCCCTATCTGTGTTTGTGAATTCCTATAATTGGCATGAATTGAAAGTTCTTGTTATCACTGATAGTAACCCAGAGACAATTCCAATTTGGGTTTAAATGGCCCTATGCAGACAAGGGTAACTGAACAAACCAAAACAGCTTCATGTGTTTATGGCAGATAAATACCAATTAAGTACTAGAAATGACATCAGGGTTTTTTTTTTTTCCTGTATAGTTTCAAGTTAAGAGACTTTTTCTCCCTTGAGTTTGCAGATATAGAGCATCATGACCTTACAAGAGGAAGGAGAGCAACTTCCCATCTGAATGAGAGATGGAAAAATTATATGAAATAGAACTAATTCTACTGTTAAGCAGTAAACTACTTATTACTTGAGTATTAATTAGGACACTTGGCTACAAATAACTTATACCAAATTTGAACTATCTTTATCAAATGTGGAATTTATTCCAAAGGATACGTTTATTCTAAGGATTAAAATGTTTCTCAAGGCAGGTTAGGGCAAATTGCAGTACACCTCAGAAAATGCAATCAAAACCTTCCAGGACTCTCTGTCACATCTCCTTCTCTCTAAACTATCTTTTTTATTGCAGATTGGCTTCCGCTGTTCCTCATGTAGCAGACCATGATTGCCAACATTCCCTTATATTTATATCTCGCAGTTGAAGGATTCAGGGAGAGCCTGATTCTAAGACCCAAGTCTAAATTCTTTAAATACATACGTATGTATGTGTATATGTATATGTATGTATATATATATATACACACACATGCATTCATGTTTAGATAGACATACACAGACATATATGTGAATTACATTGAATTACATATGAATTACATTTCTATTTAATGTATTCAATGTAGGTTACAATGCAACGTTATAGACCTTTTCATCCATTACAGGTAGGAATGTGGTTTAATATGGAATTTTTGAGAAGTAATTTGAAAATATGTACCAAAACTTACGGAGATGATTTTTCACCTAAATCCATTATAATTTTTGAGACTCTTTTCTAAGGTAATAATCCCACATTTGGGTGGAGGCTTTATCTATATTGATAGTAATTGCAAGACTATTTTAATAGCAAAAATTATGAGACCATTTTTCAAGGTTCCAAAAAAAAGCAGAACGGTAATTTTTATGGGAACAAAGAAGACAATGCTTCTAGATATTTAAATTGTGTTTGAACAACATTGGAAAACCTGTTATTTTAAATGAAGAAAGTAAGGTGTCTAACTACTTGTGCAATGCAATTACAATTATGCAAGGAAAATGCAAAGGAAATATATCAAACTTTAAATCCTAAAGCTTTTAATACTCACTTTTTCTCTAGTTTCTAAAATTTGGCTAATAAACATAAATTTAATTTATAAATTAATTGACCTTGGCATTGTATAAACATCAGGGTAAATAATGCATCTGTCTCTCTGTCTCTCTCTCGCTCTCTTTATTCAACTTTATCCTAAAGCATCATACTAATTACAATCTATTGGTTTTAGTTTGACTCCTCAGCTAGGTTACTCAAACAATGAAAGACTACTTTTAATCTCTGAAGATGTTTCTTTATCTTGAATTTTGATTTCCTAATCAATGAATACTTGTCTAAATTTAGTATTAAGTTCACACACATCTTTTCTCTTTTTTGGATTACTTTGCCAATCAATAATGTTCCTCTTTTAGCGGTTACTGGTTATTTCTACTGATCTCTGCTGAGAGTTTATTCTCAGACACTTTCATACCACGCTTTGAAAATACTGGTTTCCAAGCTGTGAATTCACTGTATCTATGCAGAAAGGAGTGATTTGTTTCTTGTATGGCATGATGTTTTTTATATCCTGTGAAAACCATCAATTCCACATTTGAGTGGTTCCTTCATGACATGGGCTGCTCTAACTAAAGAAAAATGTGCATTAAAAATATGTGTCCGATTAAGGCATTAAAATATCTTAAGCAGTCAGGTAGCAAACAAATCTTTCTGAGTTCCAATTACTGTATTACATTATGTCAATACTTACTGTCAAAGTACATTACAGAAAAAGGCTGGGCTCTTTTCAGAAAGGGCATTGCAATATAATGGGTGACAAGAAACTGCATCTGTGTATATGGAAGCACAAGAAACTAACAACAACAAAAAAATAGTGCCCAATCCTAGGTGGCTGAAGAGTAATATCTAAGAGAATATGAAGAAAACCCATTATTTATTCCCTAGGCCAGATAAGGAGCCCTGGCTTTCTCTGGCATAGCTGCAGTGTATATAATTATACCTCTTTCAGTGCCAATTACTGTGTGTATATCCATAAAAAGAATGGTACAATGGTGACAGAGATGAAGAGCAGATCTCTTAAATAAACATGTAAAAAAAAGCAAAGTAAAGAAAAATAATAAAAACAGGTCTATTGCTGTTAATGCCACTGTTCCAGAAAAAAGTAAAACAGAGATCATTAATATCCATAAGAGCCAGAATAATGTCTATATTTTTCATCCAACATTTTTCAAACCATGGAGCCCTTTTAGAATCTGCTGATGACTGTGGACTCTCATATATACACACTCATAAAATTTTGCCCACAATTTTAGGGGTTTATTCCATAGTCGTATTGAAAGCCCATAGATTTCAGGATAGGAATAACAATGTTGATTACTCATTTGGGGCCAGACACTTTCTATGCCATATAAAGATAATGGCTTATTTAGTCCTCACAACGACACTATGAGATAGTTATTATTTTAGTACCTATTTTACAGATGAGAAAACTAAAGGAAAGAAAAGTTATGTAAATAAATTGAGAAAACTCAGCCAGTAAGCGGCAAAACTGGACTTTAAATCCAGGCCGTATGATTCCAGAGCATACTCCAACAAGGACTGTAAACTGCATCCTGCAGAAACAAATAAACAAACAAAAACCTAGAATAAAGAAGCAGATGATAGAGTTTTAGAACTGGCGGAACACATAGAAATTATCTTTTCCAAATTCTATGTTTTAAAGTTGAGGAAATTGTATTCCACATAATTAAATGATTAACAGAAGCCCATAGAGCAAGTTAGTGTTAGAGCCAGGGTTCAAGTGGGAACATTCATCCAAAGCTCATGACAAAGCTACACCGATATTATTATCATTATTCTACAGGTGAGGAAACAGAGGCACACTGTTAATAAGTAGCAGAACTACCTTTCGAACCCAGATAGGCAGGTTCAAAGCTAAAACTACCATATTACTGTAATTCAGGAAAGCCATTCCCTTTATAATTCGTTTAGTAGGCGCTCGGAATGATCAAATCTTTAAATTAGAAAATTCGAATGTCTTCAATTTACAAACTTTGGAAATTCTGGAGATTCTACTTTACAATCATTTTAATGTTCTCTAATCAAAAACTAATGTTTTCAGTGTGCTACAATTCATGAATTTTATATTCATATCAGAATATAAAATTATACACATGCATATATGAACTTTATATGTTATATATGTATGAAGCTTATGTATGTATATAACAATATGTATATGAACACAACCTGAATACATATGTATATATAGATAACCATTCAAACATTTTAAATTGGCTATAGAGGAAAGCAATTTGCCATTTGACTTAAAGTCTTTTGTAATGACTAGAATTTAAAATAAAGTTTACAATTTATGAAGATGAAATAAAACTATACTTAAAATGCTGTTTTTCGAAACAGAAAATTCCCTTAAAACCTCAAAATCTATTGTTTGTTTTATATAATAAAAATCCAAATTTTTTCTACAATGTCTAAATCTTTTGTAATTCTGTTATATTTTCCTCTACAAGTTCAACTCAGTGATACCTAAGTGCAAACAATAAGGCTAGTATGAGAGCTTTTTTTTTTTGAGACGGAGTCTCGCTCTGTCGCCCAGGCTGGAGTGCAGTGGCGCGATCTCGGCTCACTGCAAGCTCCGCCTCCCGGGTTCAGCCATTCTCCTGTCTCAGCCTCCCAAGTAGCTGAGACTACAGGTGCCCGCCACCACGCCCGGCTAGTTTTTTTTTTTTTTTGTATTTTTAGTAGAGACGGGGTTTCACCGTGTTTGCCAGGAGGGTCTCGATCTCCTGACCTTGTGATCCGCCCACCTCGGCCTCCCAAAGTGCCGGGATTACAGGCGTGAGCCACCGCGCCTGGCCAAAAGTTACTTAATTTGCATGCCAACCTACACTCACATCTATTAAATGATTAGTCAATCAAGATATAGACAAAACTCATCTATTGGCAATGTACACTGAGGGACGTGTTCTCGGTGTAGTCCTGTCACCGATCTTAGTACAGAAATAAATACCTTTTTTAATCCAGTGGCATAATAAACCTGAGAAAAGAGAAGTCTTTCATTAAGAATCTTGGAAGAAGCAGTCGTTAACCACTTGTCATCAGTATTAGCAACTCAAGCTGAATAAAAATTGATTGTGTGACTCTGGACCTTCTTTGCTCTGCCACTTGGATAATCTATTAGCATTGGCACCTGATTAACTCTCAAAACTGTCTCCTCTTTTGATTAGCTCCCAGGATTTCTTTTGTATTCTCAGTAATAATTTTCCAAACCCTTTTCTAAAAGACTGACTCTAATGTTCTTTTACTGACTGCAAAGTTTCCCGTCAGTGCTGAAAACATGTTTGGCCTTCATTCCTATTTATAATTTTTGGCTTGATCTTTCATAAACACTGGCTTAAGACTTCCGTATTTGGTGAACAGGGAGTGAATGATTACTCCGAAACTTTATTTCTGTTTTAAGTGCTTTCAGTATTTGGCACAAGGTGGAAATGAGCAGGCTCAGTACTGACCATTGCTATTACAATAACTCACTGCATTTCCTTAAAACTTATTTTCCACTTAAATTGTTTTCTACATTGATTTCTGTCTGTGCTAATACTTGGCCATGTATGAGAACAACCTGCTTGTTTTAATGTTTAAATTTTGAATGGTATGGTAAGGAGAAAGACCAAGATTTAAAAGATAATATATTCTGAAAGGGCAATTTTTGGAAAGCTTTTAATACTTCATTTAAAACCCATTCTTCAGCTTATTTTAAATTTAATGATGGAATACAACCCTCTCTTTTTTAAATGAAGAGGTTATATACATTCCATCATTATTGAATTTTATTCTATGGGCCACATTTACTATTTACCTGCTATATTAGTCAGCTTTATTATAGGCTAATGCTCTGTAAAAAACAAATCCAAATCTCAATGACTTATAAGAACAAACATTTATTTCTTATTCACATGTCAGGTTCAATTTTGTATTGAGTACAGGTCAGCTCTATGCATCTCTCCTTTTAGGAACAGAGGCTACCTGAGGCGTGTACTTCCCCTGACAAAGGGAGGAAGGACCAAGAAAAGTGAAAACACTTTATGATTCTTAAGCCCCTAGCTCAGAATTGACACACTCTCATATCTGACTGTGTTCCACTGGTCAAGGCAAGTCACATGACCAAGGCCACATCAGTGAGTGGGATGTGTAATCCACCCATGGTGAACCATGGCAAGTGGAAAGGAGGAAGAAAAAGAAACCGATGAGCAAATAATGTAAACTACCAACTTGTTCAAGAAGTTCTAATGCAATTAAATATATAGTCAGGAATAATAATACTGATCTCTATTGGCACTTACTTTGTACTAAGTCTTTGCTTAAGACTACTTTCGATGCTTTACAGGATACCTCATCAAAGTGAAGCTAAGAGTTTTTTTACCACGATTATTTCCTCTTTTCAGACTGGAAATCTTGGGTTTGGTGTGGCTTATGAGTCTTTTCTTTCTTTGTTTTGTTTGTTTGTTTGTTTGTTTTTGAGATGGAGTCTTGAACTCCTGTCGGGGCTGGAGTGCAGTGGCATGATCTTGGCTCACTGCAACCTCAGCCTCCCAGGTTCAAGTGATTCTCCTGCGTCAGCCTCCCAAGTAGCTGGGATTTCAGGTGTCCGCCACCACGCCCGGCTAATCTTTTTATTTTTAGTAGAGACGGGGCTTCACTGCGTTGATCAGGCTGGTCTCGAACTCCTGACCTCATGCTGCGTCCACCTGGGCCTCCCAAAGTGCTGGGATTACAGACATGAGAGACTGCACCCGGCCTATGAGTCTTTTCTAACACTGCATAACTAGTGCATGATCAAGCCAAGAAATGTGGGCCCAAATTCCACTACAGAGAGCAGACAATAACGATGCTCCTATGGGCCATTCTGGATTACATATCCCATGCAACAATTGAGGAGCCCTACAGGGCATGCTTAGCAATTGTTCCATTGTTTTTTTTTTTTTTTGTCCTTTTTAATACATAGACTTCTGTCCCTCGTTTATTGAGGGTTGCCCCTGGGAGAACTAAATCTCTATCACTTCTGGACTGCCCTGCAAATGGGCTTACCAAGCCCTCCTAAACTGAAGAAAGCCTTAACACAAAGAAACAGAGAGATGTGGATGCTTGTGGTGAGGAATCTTCAGCATCCACAGAATCCGTTCACTATAGTTATAGGTGAACTCAGGGATGGCTCGGTGAAATAAGGGATGAGGCATTATCCTCATCTACTATGCCATTTTATTAACCTTTACTCCATAGTGTAAGTTGAGTAAATACATCTTGTGATTTAAATATCCCCTTATAATCCAGGCCCTGTGTTTGACCATTTGTCTGTTTCTAAAGCATCTCATTAACAGTATGTTTGGAAATGGCTGTTGTGTGTCGTGCACATTTGGCTGTTTGCTTTCCTTTTGGTTTGCAAAGAAGTATTTTGCAACCCATAAAAATAGATAAATATACACCACAGAACAATGTATTTTTTTAAATTTTCAGGGGAGAATTTGAATCTTTTAAAAGTAATATTGAGTAGGCAGCTGTATGGAAACAGGCATCTAGTTAGCAGTTCTGCTACAATATCCAAGTAGTTAATTTCACCTCTAAATTACACTGGAGACCTTGACCTTATTTTGATTTATTCTGTCATAATTAGTCTATGGTTATTACTTTAACAAAAATAAGTCATCTTTCTCATGAACACTACCAAAGCACATTTCAAGTCTGCATACTAATTAATAGTAACTTATTTTTACTCCTAACAAGTCTACACCCACATACTCATGTTTAAACAAGATGAGATATTTGAAATCACTTTATAAATTATAATGCACCACAGAAATATCCATTATTTCCATTATTACTAAAAACTTACTTCATTCTTTTGAGCATGAGGAGGTATAATTTATGTGAATATCATTTCATATTTTGTTTTTATCTTTCAAATCGAGAAGACTTGAATTTTTTGCATATTTACAAATACTATAAAAATCCTACTAATTATTAACATGGCTGCCACGTAGCAATCGTGTCTATTTTATGAAATAATGTCATTTATACAGAAGACCCACGGGAAGTTGTAATATATTTGGAAGTAAAGATTTATAGGTTTTGTCTATTTTTTTCTCTTTCTCAGCATTAATATGTCATACATGTGTCACATTTAGTCTTCACAATTCAGTATCTTTATTACTATTACCATGAAACAAATAGAGGCAATGAGACACAGAGAGGTTAAGTAACTTACTCAAGGCCACAGAGATAATGAGATGTGAAACTGGAGTTGGAACTCAGGTTATTTGACTCTGAAATGAGTGTATGATGTAACCCCGGCCTGCATTGTATCTAACACATGCAATTTTAAGAGGATAAGAATTAACTGTTTGCACAATCTACCAGATGGCACTGTTTTTCCAACTGAGACCACTTAACACCTTTTCATATACTCTTGGAGTTCTGATCATTCTTCCACTCTAATACATTTCTTCAATCTCATTGTCATTATGTCCTACTTCATGCAACTTCGATTAATTCTTCACAAGTATATTTCTACAATACTTGTGCTATGTTTCCAATGTATAGAGCATTGCAATTTTTATGAATATACAACTATGCGATTATGTTAGGTTCTCACCATAACTCCAATTTGCTAATGGAGCATAAATTCTGTGATTAAGTGGCAGGGAATGGGAGAGAACTTTTATTCAATATGAGCTGACATGGCTTTCCAATCTGGTTTCTGAGTCCAACAACTCCCTACAATAAAAAAGCAATTGACCTACCTGAGAAAGAAGTGGCGTTTGCAGTGGAGGCAAAGGAACAGACAGGTCATCCATAGCATTTTACATTGTGTCAGAAGCATGACAGTCATGAAAGATGAAGTAAAGGGCAATTATATCATATTACAGAGTGAAATTCACCTAGAGAAATAAAGGCAGATTGTTTGCAAGAAATATTCTTTCTCTTAATTTTTTATTCATTGTAGTGATGAAAATAAGTAGCAATATTTCAGTTCCAAGGCTAAATTTTGGGGAGAAGTCATTGAAAGTTAGTTTTATGTCTAATGGGTGCTCAATGGATAATTTAGGAAATGAATTGGTGACAGAAGGTCTATAATTAACAGAGTAGTTTGAGCAGTATGATGAAGTGCAGGGGGAAAGCATTGGTCTAGGACTTAGTAGATCTGAGATTTAATTACAGTATTGATTAGTCACTTGATTTATTCAACAAACCCTTACTAAGTACCTATTTCTGCTTCAGTATACCATGTTTGGTGCCAGGAGTTGCAAAGACATAATAATTCTCCCATCTAAGTGTGGTCACATTTAGGAGGTAATGAGTGGGATTTGGGCTGCATTATTGGAAGACAACAAACTAATTTTCTGTTTGTGTGTGTGTATGTGTGTATGTGTGAGTGTAAGCAAGATGAGATATTTGAAATCACTTTATAAATTATAATGCACACACAATTAAAGTATCTGTGTGTCCATACACATACAGTTAAAGTATTTATGTGTGTAACACATATGCATAATTAGAAAAAAGCCTACACATATGTATATATCAGAAGGATTGATTGATAAGTTATGCCAGGGAGATAAGTGTGATTGTGAAAACCCTCACATTCGACCTAGATCTTAATAGTGAGTGTCCTCATTCTAGGGAGTGCATGAACAAAGGACTAAAGCAAGAAAGCATATGATTTATTTATGGAGAAATTTGGCTTGTGTGACTAAGGCAGACCTGGTAGATGTATATAAGGTTTGGGATATGGGTGACTGCCAACAGGCCTAATCGATAATATGTTTAGAGGAGTACACTGGAGTCAAATTGTGAAGGCCCTTATATGCCATTCTGAATAATCTAGCCTGTAACCTCATCAGAGAAGCTCTGGATTTTTCAAGTTAGTTCTCTTAATATATGATTGTAACAGAACTGTAGTTTCTCCATCAGGGAATTTAGCTTTATCATTGATTATCCATGATCCAACTCCCCTAACTCCACATATAATTAATAATTAGTACTTACCAATACTACCCCGTAAACACATCTTGAATGCACCTACTCCTTTTCCAGCCCCACTGCCATTCATTAATGCAAGTCATGCTTACTTCTCACGTGGATTATAGGTATAATCAGCTCATGTGTCTTCTTATTTACAGTTTATCCCCAAATATTCTCTACACTGTGAAATTTATTTCTAAAAGCCAAGCCTGACATTGCTATTTCCCTACTTAAAATTCTGCTTTGATTTCGAACTGCCCTCTGGCTATATTTTCAGGCTCTTCATAAATAGGTTGATGATAATTTCACTTTTTCTAGGGTCATCTCTGCCATTTTTATCCTCCTCCACCATCTCTAGGTCTGGGAAAGGACCATACTCTTTCTCTCACATCCTGACACTTTCACCTGCTCTTTTGATTTTCTGGAGTTCTCTTTTCTACCACTTGTCTCTCTGCTCTTAATTAACTTTCAAAACTCAGCTGAGATGTCACTTCATCAAGGAAGCTCTGGATTTTTCAAGGTAGTTTCCTTAATATATGATTGTCACATGACTGTAGTTTCTTCATCAGGCAACTTATCTGTATATTTGTATCAACATACCCTTTTGTTGTGTCTGCTTCTCTCACTAAGCTAGAAGGAAAAAAGCTAGAGACACTGCCTTTCTCACAGTTGTTTTTCTACCACCTAGTAGGTGTCAGTACACATTTGTCACTTAATAGCCTTAAATATGAAATGTAATTTATTAGTTTCCTATTGCTGCTATAAAATTACCACAAATTTAGTGGCTTAAAATTATATACATTTATTCTCAGACAGTTCTGCAGGTCAGAAATCCAAACTGGAACTTACTGGACTCAAATCATGATGCCAGAAGGGCTGTGTACTTTTGGATGCTCCAGGGGAGAATCTGTCTCCTTGCCTTTTCCATTTTCTAGAGAATTCCCACGTTATTTGGCTCACGGCCTTCTTCGTACATCTTCAAAACCAGCCACCTCGGACCAAGTCCTTCTCATAGTGCTTTCTAATTCTCCCCTTATGCCAACATTTCCCCCCTTTTAAGGACCCCTGTGATTAAATCCTGCCCACTCAGATAATCTGGGATAATCTCCCTATCAAAAGTTAGCTAATTAGAAAGTCTAATTCTATCTGCAATAATTCCACTTTGCCATGTAACATAATTTATTCACAGATGTCAGGGATTAGCACGTGGCCATTTTTGAGGAGGCATTATTCTGCCTACCAGAGTTTAATAGAATTAATATCTGCAGAGGAGAAAAATGAGAAGAGGACTAAAAAGTAAATCTGGTCTTCGTTAACTTAAAACACCTTTATTGAGCACTACTATGTAACACATTCTATGCTAAGTGCTGGGATTACAGCTCTGATCCAGACAGTCACTCTCTTGGAAATGAGAAAGGATGTAGGTGATGTTATTAAGAACAACTTTTGTAGGATGATGAGCAGTGAAGACTGCATTACATTGACTGTAAAGCGAATGGGAAATAAAGAAATATCTTTGACATGAACAGCTTTTCTGTTCTTCGTGCAGAAGTTTAATTATTTTAGACCTCCTCATTGTAAGCTGACCACTAACGTCACCTCAGGCGGTAGAAAAATCCCATAATCAAAGACTATTACTCAGATTTAATAGAAAGCATTTTTCATACCATTTTCCATTGCAGCCTCCTCCACTCTGCACTGCCATTTTGTAATATTAATGGCACAGTAAATCCACTTTCTAAATATGTCCTAAATTTGTTTCCTTCCTTTATAATGCTCCAAAATATCACATAACCTTATCTAATGTTTATCATTAATCTTCCATATTTTTCATTTTTTTCTCATGTTTGATGGAAGCAGAGAATAGACTGAACTTAATTGCTCTCCCATATTACTTCATAGTTCTTTATTTTCTTTTCTTTCTTTTTTTTTTTTTTTTTTTTTTTTTTTTTTTTTTGAGACGGAGTCTCCTCTGTCCCCCAGGCCGGAGCGCAGTGGCACGATCTTGGCTCACTGCAAGTTGCGCCTCCCAGGTTCACGCCCCAGTAGCTGGGACTACAGGCGCCCGCCACCACGCCCGGCTAATTTTTTGTATTTTTAGTAGAGACGGGGTTTCACCGTGTTAGCCAGGATGGTCTTGATCTCCTGACCTCATGATCCGCCCACCTCGGCCTCCCAAAGTGCTGGGATTACAGGCGTGAGCCACTGCGCCCGGCTTCATAGTTCTTTCTTTAAGTGAAATTAACTCATCCCATTGCATTTCTTCACTACGTGAGTTTCTAAACTGGTATCAACTTTAATATTCCCTTCCCCTTTTAAAGATACATTTTCTGTGTCACATTAGGGATGAAGATCTTCAATTAACATATTAACTAGCCCCCAAGGAAATATCATTTAAAAAATGTTTTTCTAGGCCGAATGTGGTGGCTCATGCCTGTAGTCCTAGCACTTTGGGAGGCTGAGACAGAAGGATTGATGGAGTCCAGGAGTTTGAGACCAGCCTGGGCAACATGGGGAGACCCCATCTTTACAAAAGAAAAAAAATTAAAAATTAGACAGATGTGGTGATGTGTGCCTAGAGTCCTAGCTACTGAGGAGGCAGAGGTGAGAGAATTGCTTGAGCCCAGGGGTCTGAAGTTACAGTGAGCTGTGATGGTTCCAATGCACTCCAGCCTGGGGAACAGAGCGAGACCTTGTGTCAAAAAAATTTTATTTTCTTGTACAGATTATGGTTAATTGCTTTGTGTAATGGGAATAATTGTTAGTGTTTATAGAACTGTTTTTCTGTTTTTTTTTTTCCCCCAGTTTTTAAATGCTTTCACTTACATTGTTTATCTGATGGCAGAGAAGAGGTCTTAAGGAGGCTCTCCAGCATCTCGCTCCTAACTCTCATTGCAATTTCATTCCATGCCACTCCCTTTCTCACATTTTAGAGTGCAACAAAACAGAATTGCATAATGAATGAGCGTGTACTTTCAGTTTCTTATCACTCTGTCCTTGTCCTTACTGTCTGCTCAGTGAGATTCATCTTTATCCTCCTCCTACCTTTATTCCTTCTTTACTTTCTCTCATCCTTCTGAACTCAACCTACCCATTACCTTCTCCAAAATATCTTTTCTAACACCCATGTGGCTACATATTCCTTTCTCCATGCTCCTATAATACGCTTTAAATTTATATATATTTTTGTTTATGCAAAATGTTTCATATTTATCTATGATGTGTCTATTATCTACTAGGCTAAGAGCTCTCCCAGACTGAATCTTGTTTATATTTTCAGTAACTAGTGCAATGTCCAGGTCATAGTAAGCATTCTGTAAATATTTATTTTATAAATTATTACACGAGTAAATGATCTCATTATATCCTGTCAATAGCTCCATGAGTTAAAGAGCAATTAATATTCTCATTTCACAGTTAAAGACGCTAAGGCTTGGCAATTTTAAGGCCACAATTCTAATAAGTCCTGCAAAGCCACTGGAAGCCAGTTCCACAGATTTAATGTTCCCTCAGTTTGCCCAGTATCATTCTTCTGCAGTAACTTGCTCTTGTGAATCAAGAATATTGCAATTTAATATATCCCACATTTATATTCCTGAGGGACTAAGGAATATAAAAGTTAATAACAGGGTAAAAGTTCATTGTACTAATCTTAAAAAATATGAAAGGCCACATATACTGAATAAAAATAACTTTATTAGAAGGGGTTAAAGATTACTGAGAGGAAATACAATTTTTATGTCATGTTAGAAAGCTAATTTTATATGGGATTTCCCCGTAGAGAGAATAAAATAAAACGTTGGTCAGTTTTTGCAATTTATGAAGTAGTGGTTCTTCACTTCTTGACATCTCCAGGGAACAGTTTTCAAGTAAATTTTCCTAAGAGAGATTTTCTTCTTTGCCTCTCTTATTAATATGCACATGCATGTTTTTATTAGTAAAATAAAATCAGTTATAAACAAACCCTAAAGGAAATGAAATAGAATATGTGCTGCTTGAAATGACTAAACAGGAGCATATAATCATTTTGTAATAAAACAGCTATCACTTTATTCTTTTCTCATTTGCTTTGTTGCTGATTGCACATTAATATGTTTTACTATAGACTATGTGACTACAGAAATAGACATCATGTTAACGTATCAAAATAGTTTCTAGAACAATTTATATATGTGTGATGTGTATGTATGGTGGCTTTAGGTTAACTAAGGGTATACAGCTTAAAATAGTCAACTTTTAAGCAATATGACAAATAGCAATAAAAATATATCAATTCAAGTAAATACGTATAAAATTTTAGCATACTAAAATAAAAATTAAAAGGCATATGACCACTTGGGAAAATATGTCCATTCACTGACTAAAAGTGAGTAGCTTAATTTTGATCGTTAACTTGGATTTTATGGTTATAGGAGTTTTCTGCAAGGAGGTCAGTGAACTCTATGAAACTATATGCAAATATGTATGTGTAGACATTTTTCTATAGAGAAGGTTCATTATTTTCATCAGATAATCAAATGGAGCCCATGACTTGAAATGTTTAAGAATTACCAATATATAATTATCTCATTCCAATTAATTTTAAAATATTAAATGCTCAATAGATAAATGAGCCAGGATGTAAACAAGTATTTTGACAAAAATAGGAACATACAGAATAAATAAATGCATGAAACATCTTCTACTTCATTAGTAATCAAATTAATTATGATTAAAGCAAACATCAAGGATCTCCTTACATCTAAACAAAGCAGCAATACCGTAAAAGACTAAAGCAACGAAACTCCTATGAATGACATACCTGCGGCTGAGATGATAATTCCCAACCTCATTCTTTCTGCTACCAGTAGAAGTGGGTGTGATCACTTGGAAAGTATTATAAAGATATTTAGCAAAAGTCATAAAGGTTTTCATAATGTTGAACTGATAATTTTTTCGAAGACAATTATAAAAACAAAAAAGAAGTGAGTGCATGAGCATGTTTATTGTGATTTAGTCTCTAATAGCAAACAAAAGGAAAGAGCAGCTTATATGAGATTTATGATAAAATAAGTGAAAAAGAAAGAATATTATTTTGGTTATAAGAAATATGTATTTATGGGGAATTTAAAAGTGTGGACACAAAAATTTTGATTGATTTTTGGATGTTAAAATGTTTCCATAATGATATATAAGACGAAAATTGAAATACCAAATATCAATTAGTAAATGTAAAAGCATTATTATTTGAAGTATTAACAACCATATCATCCAGCACCATTAAAGAAGGCTCATTATTCAGTTCTAGATCAGTTCATACAGACAAATAAGTTATGCATTGCCAAATTCCAGGACGCTATTCACATAGGTTACAACATACATGGAACCTCCTTGAGTTGTTCAAAATAGAAGCTCTGATTTCATGGTTGTTTTGCATTTGCGTTAATATGTTCACCTTTTGTGACTCTGATTATCTTATGGTATTCTGTATTGTTAATTATGCAATTATAATGTAAATGATAGATATCTGGTCAATGTGAAAAGCCATGGACTTTGATTCAGAAAATCTGTATCAAGTTCATTTCTGTCACTTAATAGCTTTATTCCTTCTCAGCTTGTGTTTATGTATAAAGTAGTAAATTACATACAGATTGAGAAGACATAATTAAAACAAACTTATGAATAGTAAGGCACTAAGAATTGTTATGTATTTTATAATAATAATACAATTAATTGTATTAATAATTATTATGTTGAAGAAAATATATGCTACTATACCAAAATAAGACAATAATTCATTGAAGACATTTTTCTTGTATTAAAGACGTAGAGGTGAGAGAGGACAACTAGCAAAGATGTTTATATGTTGAAGCTCACATTTAGTGTTATTTACACAGTAAATAAGTAACACTTTGCACATAATGTCAAGGTTTTCGTGCTGCCTTCGATGCTTACCTAAAAATTACTCCTTGTCCATATAATTGAAAAGAATAAAAATTTTATTCTACTACGTATTTTTCACTTAAAAGCCTCTAGATTAAATCACTTCAAAAGACCTCATATTGAGCTTTTGGCAGAGGGTTTTGGGTATGTTTCAAAGACATCTGAATGTATGCTTTCAACTGACTCATTTACTCTCTGCTTTCTGACAGAAAGTACGCATGCACATGTAGGAAATATAAGTGGAATTGCAAATAAGGTCATTTACTTTTAGGAATATATGTATATACTACTGATAAATGATGCGTTGACCAATCTTCCTCCATAAAGTCTATGAAGATGGTTTAATTTTGACCATTTGAAATGTTCCATTTCTTTTTAAAATTATTTTGGAAGGGCTAGTATTAATTTTATGAAAGTAAAGATTTGAAGGAGGCTAGAATAGGTTTGAAAACTATTACTATCTGTTTTTATTTATTCACCCTTGTCAACAAAGGAAATACTTCCATATTGTAGCTAAGATTTATCATATACCATATGAATAATGTTGATATTGAACATACATATAGAAGCTTGTGTGAATAACATAATTAAATAAGAAAAATGTATTTTGTAATGCTAAATAAAATTTCTCACCTAAGATGACAGTTTGAAATTTATTTATTCACTGTTATTTCTCATATTGACTAAAGGAATCTACTTATAGATTAGTATTGTGATTTAAAGATAAACAGATATTTTTGGTGCATGCATATATTTGTTATGCGAAAGTGATTCCTTATGTTTTTAAGAGAAGCAACGGAGATTTACTACTGAAAAATATATGAGAGCAAATATGATTACTTTGTAAAGGGCATTTTAATAACGGTTCTTTTAATCCAAGTAGATAAAATATAAAATTTATCAATTTTAAATATCTCTCAGATGCATTCATTTACTGAACATTAACTAATATGATTATATTTACAATAATTAAAAAAATAGTCTTTTGCTTGGAGAAAAACATTTTAATATATCAAGATTGATGATTTTTCTGTCCATTTGACTTAATACTAATTTCCAGTTTAGGGGCAAAAAGATCATTTGTAGAAGCATGAATTCAGTGAAGCTGTTTTTTAATAATTTTTCTCCCTAATCCCTTAGTATAAATCTTTGGGGACTTTTTTCTTTGAGTATTTATATGTAAGGCATGAAGAGTATCATTTGCATTTTTATTTGAAATGTTCTGACTTTTAGATGAAAAGAGGTCCTAGAAATTTTAGAGTTGTAGAATCTCCCCTTCCTTAAAGCATGCACGTATTTGTCAGATGTATTTTCTGAGCTCTTAATTTGTTCAGACAGTGTGCTAAGTTCTGGGAAGCAAAGATAACTAAACCATGCTCCTGCTCATCAGGAAACCTCTTCCATAGTGAGATCAGGCCCATGTTAGAGTATGTAGATGCTGCAAAGGAAGGAATAATCATTTCTCCATGGTTGGGTGGATGGCATGGGGAAAGGCTCCGAAATAGTTTTTCGGAGTAAATGACAGCTGAGAGTTTCTTTTAATTATACTGGAGTATCTATTCATAACTGGCGAATAAATACTGTTATTCAGAGGAGACTATTTTTTTATAATCATACAGTATTTGAACGACTATGGGTTTGGTCATATTAATTGTTTTTCAGATATTACAAATCTGAGGCGGGATCTTGCTCTGTCGCCCACGCTGGAGTGCAGTGCCATGATCTCGGCTCACTGCAACCTCCACCTCCTGGATTCAAATGATTCTCCTGCCTCAGCCTCCCAAGTAGCTGGGATTACAGGTGCATGCCACCATGCCTGGCTAATTTTTGTATTTTCAGTAGAGATGGGGTTTCGCCATGTTGGCCTGGCTGGTCTCAAACTACTGGCCTCAAGTGATCCGTCCTCACTGGCCTCCCAAACTGTTGGGATCACAGGCGTGAGCCACCGCGCCTGGCCATTTTTCAGAAGTAATTTTAATTTGGATGCCCCAAACCAGCATCACTCATGTTTAATTCCATTTATCAATGAATGTAATACTAAATGTAAAAAAACACTAACACATCATAATGGAAAGTTACTTTGGTTGTAAAATATGAATTATATTTAAAGTTGCTTCCTAACTTTTATTTTTTTATTTTGCATTTTAGATGAAAGAGAAGATGTTCAAAAGAAAACATTCACAAAATGGGTAAATGCACAATTTTCTAAGGTAAGAATGGTTTGTTACTTTACTTTTAAGATCTAAGTTGTGAAATTTTCAAAATGGACTATGTACCTGTGTATCTTAAAAATCCGTTTTATTTCTCTCATAGTGTCATTTTATTTTAGCTGTGCAAATCTGGAAATATTATGTTCACTCTTATTTAAGGAGTAAGCAGCAGAAGATATGGCAAAGATACACTATTTAATTATATAAAATGTATATCTTTGATTCTTCTTGACAATGTGAGTTTCTTTAATGACATGAGTCCTCAGAGTTTATAGCTGCAATCTTCCATCAAGTAGCTAGAATATGTCACCCAGCAGAAGAAGATATGAGGGAATTTTGTTGTGAAAATTATCATTTTTTTGTCCCTCTTGGTCTTTACCAAGTTCAAGAAAAGCAATATAATTGCTTTGGGTGTATTCAGCCACTATAGTTTAGAGCATATTTCAAATGATTAAAGACAATAAGTTCATCTTGTTTTTGTGCAGGCTTCAATCCATACTCTTAATATTTACTTAATTTGCAAATACAACTCAATTTTTAATCAATAGCGTGACTCTAGATGATTATAGGTGGACACAGAGCAAGATATTCTTACCTTGAAAACTAGTATTAGGAATGCAATATATGGAGGTTTATTGGGATGTCAAAGTTTAAAAGACTTGCATTTTAATTATTATTCTCGATTTGGGTAAATCAATCAAATGTTTGGTGAGTCGGTTTTCTTATGTTTCCATCATGAATGTTTGTATATGTATATATTGATTGCTTAATTGAGACATCAAATCTAGATAATGGAAAAATAAAGCTAATAAAATATGGCCCTTAAACCCAAGGCTTTAAGAGTGGCATAGTTTTGATAGTGGATATTTTGTTTCTTATTGTAATGATTTAAAGAGTCACTAAAAGTGAAAATTTCTACTAAAATGCCTGAAACTCTTAATAGCTATGAATTACTCCCTCTATGGGTCTGATTTTGTAAAATTCATGATAATGGAGCCAAAACAATCCACTAGGAGATCCAATCTCAAAAGTTCTCCCTTTTCTATGACAAACATTTTTAGAATATCGTCTATTCTTTGTGGTATTTGGTAGTAGAATGTTGCCATGTACTCTTTAATTTAACTTACTGAATTTTAACTAATAAAAGTTCATTTTATTTACTTGCTGAATAATTAACAAATTTCTATTACAGACGTAAACAGAAACATGTATTTTAAAAACGTTTTTTAAATCCTCAACTTTTTTTAGCTAAGTGAAATAAAATATAACAACACAAATATAGAAGAATAAATAAAAAGTAAACCTAGGATATTTAGGAAAGTTATTCATAATTCTCCGAATATTTATAAGATGGTTATATATAGTTTAATTGCTGTATATACTGGCATCATTGACATTTTTAAGTTTTGGAATTCTGAAGCAGACAAGAGACATATTTTCAAACAAACATACAGACAAATCAGAATTGTGAAGAAATTTTCTGAAATAGTAAATGTAACAATACTCTGAATCTTTGAATTGAACTAGAGTAATTTTTAAAAGGTGTGTAAACATGACAAGTACTGTGTATCCTCATTCCCGCAAGTTGAAATAGATCTTCGCTCTGTGCATTAACCTTTTCCATTATCATTTATCACAACTCACCTGTTAATATAGAAATCAAAGCTTGATATCCAATCCATCCTCTATTTATATATTGTTAGCACTGCCTCAGAGCAATTCGGTATATTTTTTTCTGTCCTTATGAATGCCCATATCTTAAAACTGTAAAATATTCACATATATGAGCACATTTATTGTTTTCTTCCAAAATATTTGCATCCTCTAACTCAACTCACACTTTTCATTTATATTACAAATGTTCTCCCTAAGTCTGTTATAACTGATCAGGAGAGTCACCATTCTTTCAAGTACAGAAATTCTATTATCAAGCATATCCTAGGTGTCAGGAATAGAAATAAAAGTTTACAAAGACAGAGGAGAAAACTTATTTAAAGGTAAAATGTATATATACCTGTGCACTAACTTCTAATTTTGAGAACTTGCAAAGAATCTTTTTCCTCTTTTCTTATTCTTTTCTGTCAAAACTTAGCTAAGTGACTGCATTCTTTTAGACACTTTTGAAGAAGATGGGAATTTAGAGGAAGCTAGTTGATTCAGTTTAAGCCACTTGGTGAAACCAAAAGATAAACATAATTGTGATATATATATCATTTGGCAATTTATTGCATCGCTGCATGCCTTTCAGCAGAATTCTAGCCCTGTAGGATACACAGATTAGTTGAAGTGGAATCTCCTGAACTCATGGAACCTACACAGTTATTTGGGAGTTTTTGGTTAATTGATAAATGGAGTTAGAACTGAGTGGGCTCAGTGTGGGTGGTCTGAGAAGGCAGTAATCTGAGCTAGAGGGAATCTGGTAACCTTTATGAAGAAAGCTCTAAAATGTGAGCCCATCAAAGGCAGGAATGTATATCTTCTATATAATCTCATTGTTTATTACTAGTACACTATATAAATATAATAAATATACTAGGTCAGTAGTACAAATCATTAAATCTATGCTAACTGTAGAAACAGAAGAAAAACTGGGTGGAAAAATTGTGTTGAAGAAGACTTTAAAAAGAGAAAAAAGAGAATGAAAAATTCTGTCTGTGTGGTAAATTAGACACAGGCACACACACATTCATACAACTATAAAAATGCCTCACTAATAAATCTAACTCATATTCATTTTTATAGTCGTATTAATGTCTATCTGTGTCTACTTTACCACACAGACAGATGATAATTTTTCATTGCCTTTTATACACACATTTATATAATATTTGTAAATTATAGAGAGACAACAAAATATTTCCTTGTTATTTTGTAAAGCTACGGAAGGGATATTTAAAGGAAATAAATGTGATTAAATGTATCCTTGTTGTTGTGGCGTCATTTGAAGCCAAATGTGTCTTTGCAGTAAATCTAACTGATTTTCCACTTTCCTGGTACCATTTTAAAAATAAGCCCTATCTCTTTTTAAAATAAGTCTTCTATTAACTTTGATTCCAAAAAATTCTACTAGAATGTGATTTATCACATCTATTATATAGAGATAACTGAACAATATTTATCTCCACATAAACACAAAACCATTTCTAGATAAGATTAATTCAGAGTAAATATTCTTTCCATGTAATTTATTGATATGTTATAATCCTTTAAAAAGCCTCGTGTATACTCTATGACAAATATGATTCGCATTATAAAAATCTTGCTCATCCATGCCGGCTTAATAAAGGGAAGTACAGTTTTGAAAACATGACCAAAAATAATTTTGTCATAAAATGTGCTTGATGTTTGTGTTTGAGAAAAAATTTTATGGGAAAAAATATT
This sequence comes from Homo sapiens, assembly GCF_000001405.40. Taxonomy (NCBI): domain Eukaryota; kingdom Metazoa; phylum Chordata; class Mammalia; order Primates; family Hominidae; genus Homo; species Homo sapiens. Next base: position 33,016,757 of record NC_000023.11, on the reverse strand, counting down.
TACTGCCAGCTCAATTGAGAGAGATAAACTATCTCCCAATGAGTGATATGATGGTTTTGATCCTATACTGAATTTAGTAATCATCTTTATTTCCATACTCACTCTTCTGTCTGATTTTTTTCCAACATAGTATGCATGTTTGACTTAAATGAAGTAGAAATGCATAATTAGTTTTGTCTAATGTCTTCACAAAAGCCCATGATATGATAGTGTTCCTGGACCAAACTGAGGATTGGGCTGCTTATTCTTGTGGCCCAATAACGAGATGCAGATGAACGGGAAAAGGAGAGAGTTTTTATTTCTGTAAGTGGTTACAGGGAGAAGACCTGGAAATTATCCCCAGACCAACTCAAAACTATAAAGTTTTCCAGAGCTTATATACCTTCTACGCTGTATGTCTACATGTAAGTGTGTATCCATCTAAAGACATAAATGATTAACTTCTTCTGATCTGTAACTAAGATCTGATTCCTGAAGACATTCCTCTGGAGCCTCAGTAAATTTACTTTATCTAAATGGGTCCAGGTGCTGGGATGATTACCCTTATCTTATCTCCGGCTAAATCATGGAGTTTGGGGGAGTTCCTTCAGATGCCCAGTAAACTTGTTTGTGGAGTCCTGGGGAGTTTCTTCAGACCCCCAATAAAGCTTTTTTAATTCTAAAAGGGTCCTGTTAAGAATTCCTTCATTATCTTGTCATGCTTCAAGGCCCAGGAAAGGCCTGGGCAAAACTCTTGGTGGGCTTTTGTTACCGTCCAGCCTTTGTTTAAGGGCGCTGGCTCTATCAGCTTTTAATATGTAACTTTACCACTCAGTCAGTGCTGAAACAGTTGTTGTGGAGGCCTGCATTAGTGAGACCTGGCCTGCCACAATAGTTCATTTACCTCTTCATTGCCGCAACATATATGTCCACATTAAAAATCCAGGACTCACCCTCTTTGGGCAATATCATGTGATAAAATAAATTGATATGACATACTTCTTGCAAGATTTCTTTTTAATTTACCTTTTAGCCAGCATGATAAGCATGATGTAGGGTAAATTAACACTAAACTTTTGAGTCAGTAAGGTAGCCTTTCTTTTTTTAACTTTTATTTTAAGTTCAGGGGTACATGTGCAGGTTTGTTATATAGGTAAACTTGTGTCACGGGGGTTGGTTGTACAGATTATTTCATCACCCAGATATTAGGCCTAGTACCCATTAATTATTTTTCCTGATCCTCTCCCTCCTCCCACCCTCCACCTTCCGATAAGCTCCAGTGTGTGTTGTTCCCCTCTATGTGTCCGTGTGTTCTCATCATTTAGCTCCCACCTATAAGTGAGAACATGCAGTACTTGGTTTTCTGTTCCTGCATCATTTTGCTAAGGATAATGGCCTCCAACTCCATCCATGTCCCTGCAAAGGACATGATCTCATTCTTTCTTATGGCTACATAGTATTCCATGGTGTATATGTACCACATTTTCTTGGTCCAGTCTATCATTGACGGGCATTTGAGTTGATTCCACGTCTTTGCTATTGTAAATAGTGCTGCAATGAACATATGTATGCGTGTCTTATAATAGAATGATTTATATTTCTCTGGGTACATGCCCAGTAATGGGATTGCTAGGTTGAATGGTAGTTCTGTTTTTAGCTCTTTGAGGAATCACTACACTGACTTCCACAATGGTTTAACTCATTTACTCTCCCACCAACAGTGTATAAGTGTTCCATTTTCTCCGCAGCCCCACCAGCACGTTATTTTTTGATAAAGCAGGCTTCTTCACACTACTCTCTACCTTAGGAGAAAACGTTATATCCATACTTTAATTTATTTGAAAAGAAAGGTGAATATAAAATTGAAATTCTCTGAGTCTTATTTTTCTTATATGTTCTTGCCTACTTGTAACAAAACATATAATAAAAGGGCATTATAAATAGTAAATCATATAAACACAAAATATTCCCATTTTTGTCATTATGTAATGTATTTTCTGAATTGAATTGAAAAATGCATATATTTATGAATTTTTTTCTACTGAATCTCTCCTTCTTATTTACTTCTATTCTTTTCCATGATGTTACCTGGTCTTCTTGAGAACATGATATTTTAATTGTAATCATTGTGTTCCTAACTCCATAATTTCATGATGCTATTGAAATGCACATGAATTTTGATTCTATAACCTAGTTTGTAATAAGCCATATTTCCTTGTTTCTCTACATTGGTTGAATCTGTTCCTGCAGCAACTAGTAACCCCAACAATCTGACTGGTGAGAAATTCAATCTCCGTAACATTTTGCATTCTTCTACTTCTTCCCACTTCCATTCCAAAGGGCCAGGTAGAGTCCAGAATACTGTAAGTGTCCTGGTTTTCAGTGCATTTTGGTCATAGCTGATATGCTTAATAGCCAAGTAAACATGACTACATAAAGGACAGCTTGTCCACAATGCCCTGCCTTGCTTGAACACGGAAGGTTTTGCTGATGATGCTCTGTGCTTGGTATCTGGCCTCTACAGCCATTTAAGTAGGTTGTCTCAGCACAACATTTGGAAACTCTGTAAAGGGAGTAGGATGTTGGCCTTCACAACTTCATCCCTTTCCCTGTGTTTGAGGAAGCTCATTAAACCTCTCTTTAATCTGACTGATTGCAAATTTCCACTGTCCCCGAATCTTAACTCCCATATCCCAATAGCCTGTTCAGTTGGGACAATATATCAATCCTTAACATGAATCTAGATTTTCAGAACTAAAGTTTTTGAAGGGTGATTTTCCTCTGGATACTTGTTCATTTCTTTATTGATTATGGTTTTGGCTACCTTCTTGGCATCAAACAGGGAAAACAGAGCATTTATTCATGTGTTACTATCCTATTACACTCTGTATGCCAATTCATGTCCTCAACACGTACACACAAACACACACACGCGCGTGCGCGCACACACACACACACATACATATACACACACCCAGTAAACATATTCTATATTTAAAATGAGCTTAGAAGTTTTTAAAAAAGGATGATACTGGGACAAAGTGGCAAAACATTATTTCAGTGAAGGAGGTAACAATATATATGTACCTTTCCATTGTGTAAGTGAATTCTAAATCTGTATATAGCTAACACATTTATATATAACTATTGTGCAATGTGCCTGCTTTAACAGAAGTAATCGAGCAGAGCTATTGTGCCATGGAAGGTTTTACATAGATCTAAAATGGCTCCTGTGCCCCTGGCTTCCTGTTTGTTTTTATCTGATAATAGGAAGAATTAAATCATTAGAGCAGATGACGTACAGTGAACTATGTCTCTGGATGCTGATGAGCAGCCTGCACAAGACTTTGGTAACAATTGAATTATTTAGTGCAATTATTTTGGAGAGATGAATATTGATACAGGAAACTTACGGAAATCCTCGTTTCAGAAATAGTGAGGATTGGGAACTTTTTGTTTATGTATACCATGATGTTAATAATCCTACTGAAAATTATATGTATATGGTTAGTTGCTCCAATAATCATATGATACAAGTATTCAAGATGAGTAAAATGTGAATTTATGTGGCTTGCTCACAGTAAATAGGAGAGATGAAGCTAGGACCCAAGAAAATGGACTCTAAAACTCATGATATTTCCATACCTATTATTGTTGGGACAAAAATTCCACCTACCCAATAATGCATTTTTGGGACAAATCATCAAATTGATAAGTCCTATGAGAAGCAGGCAGGGGGGTTGGAGACAGTGAAGACTCAATAACAGGTGGTATTAAATGCTCGCTTACTCACAGAGGATTTAATCTACCTTTGAATGTTTAGTAACCCCAAAATGCAACCATTGTTTAGGAAGTTTTTTAGTTGATTCTTTCTGAATGATTTCTAATACAAATGCCCCTCAACTTGTGTGGTTAGGTCCCTATAAACCCATCATAAGTTGAAAATATCACAAGTCAAAAATGCCTTTAATATACCTAACCTTCGAAACAACATAGCTTAGCCTACCCTACTTTAAATGTGCTGGCTTAACACTATCCTAGAGCTGGGCAAAATCATTTCACACAAACCTATTTTATAATAAAGCTAGCTCATGTAATTGATTGAATACTGTACTGAAAGTGAAAAACAGAATGCATGTATGGGTACTCAAAATACGGTTTCTACTAAATGAGTATCACCTTACACTATTATAAGGTCAAAATATCTTAAGTCGAGAACTGTTTGTACTTTAAATGTTAATATTTTTTACATACTGCGTTTTGGTGAGTGAAGTAAACTTAGTTTGCAGTAGAGTTATCTAAAGTGATATTGTCATTTTCAAACATTGCTTTTTATTTCTACTACTCATAAACAAATTATTGTGTTTACATGATTATTTGAATATTAACTTAAAACAGTTTTATACGAAATTCAAAATACCACTTTACTGGCATGTGAACTCCCTAACATCTACACTTGGTGTTAAGATGACTTGTCGAATGATGTGTTTGTGTTTGGAATCAAGATGATTATACTAAATGGTTTAATCTACTGAGAACCATTCCCTTGAATGTTTTCCTGAAACAATCTTTGCAAAGTACCTAAGTAACAAAGGATATTACTCAGTTAGTGAGACAAAAATGGATTGTGATAGGTCTCACTGTTTTCAAAGAAAGACAAATCACTTATTGTTAATAGTAAAGAAGTTTCTTAGAAATATGTTGCTGTTTATCAACCCAGTGTTACTGAGATCTTGACAATTCCTTTTAGAAGGTAAATGTTTTGGTCTCTAGGTTATCATGTCCTGATACAAGAAAATTGGAATTATTGATTACACCTATATTCTCTGGAGTGGTCTCAGTGCCAAGCATATTTAGCTTGCATATGTAAATATTTACCAATTAGCATGATAGTTGCTAGCAAAAAAACCAATTCTTTATGGCTGATGGGCCTATCCATTATTTATCTGATTTTATTTTGCTTTCTAGCAAAACAACATACATGGACATTAGTGAAGCATTTTTATTTAGAAAAGAACAATTGACACTCTGGTACCATCCTATCAGAGATATATGTTTACTAAAATAACCTTTCAACATTTAACAAATACTTATTGAATGCCAGCTATGTGCTAATCATACTGTCATACAGTGATGAAGGCATAACCCAACATGGTTTTCCCTCTCCAAGAGATTATCATCTGAGAAAGGAAACAATTGCATCAACAAATAATTAAAATAAAACATAATCTTTAATGCAATAGAAATGCTGTGGGAACATAGAAGACAGAATGACTAATTGCTTGGAGAGGATAATAGCTTTTTAAAATATGGTGACATTTAGTCTGGTGTTGTCTACGCAGAGACAATTTCAAGAAAGATGAAGGCAGAAGGAATTGCATGTAGAAATGTGTAATAATCAAAGAAGTATGACTTGTCAGGTGAGTAGTAGCAAGGGAGATCTTTAGGAGTGAAGAAGAGAGGTTGTGAGAGGGCATATAATGCCATTCTTGAAGAATTATATTGTTGTGGGGCTGGTTGAGCCAACAATAAGATAATGGCTTAGTCATGTTAATTTGCAACTTCTGATTGAAGACTGTGAAGCTCTAAAACAACAGGCAATGATAGAAGAATTAGACTGCCCCACCACCACTAATGCTTCATGCAAAATTTGGTCTGAAGTCTACCCTTTACATTTGGCAATAGACATAGAGACCTAAAATGGAAAAGCAAGCAGGCTACCATTTTTGTAGAGTTGTTTGATACCATGCACACTCCAAAACGATGCAGCAAAACGCATTGGAATTACCTAGAAAATGTGTTAAAACATGGATTGCTGAGGCCCATAGTCAGAGTTTCTAATTCCATAGGTCTAGGGTGGGACCCAGGAATCCGGATTTCTAACAGGTCCTCAGGTGATGCTGATGCTGACGGCCAAAGAACCACACTTTGAGAACCACAGTGTTAGAATTTCAGTAATTTAATCAGGTCTGTAGTAGAGAATGTTGGAGGAAACCCCACTGAGGAATTTATTGAACCCTCAAAGGGGAATGACCTTTTTCCAGTTGAGAATCAATGCAAGTACTTGATTTAAATTGGGATTTATTTTGTGGGGACTATACTCAAAAACTGAATGAGTTAAAAGACTCAAAATCAATCAATCTGATACTGATTGAGCATTCTTCGTCCAAAACGTTTGAAAATAGAAATGTTTCAAATTTTGGATTTTCGTTTGGAATATTTGCATTATACTTACTGGCTGAGCATCTCAAGTCCAAAAATCTGAAATCCAGAATGCTCCAATGAGCATTTCCTTTGTGTGTCATGTCAGCCCTCAAAAGGTTTCTGATTTGGGAGCATTTTGGATTTGGGATTTTTGGATTTGAGAGGCTCAACCTATACCTATTTTTTAAAAAATGTGTATATATATATATATGGATATACATACACACATATATATGTACATATATACATATTTATACACATATATGTACATATATACATATTTACACACATATATGTACATATACACACATATTTGTACATATATACACACATATGTACATATATACACACATATGTACATATACACACACATATGCATATATACATACACAAATATATGCATATATACATATACACACATGTATATATACACGTATATATACATATATACACACATGTGCACATATGTGCATATACATGTATATATACACATGTGCACATTTGTGTATATATACACGTATATATACACATGTGTATATACACATGTACACACATATGTGTATATACACATACATACGTGTATATACACACATGTGTATACACACATATGTGTATATACACATACACACGTGTATATACACACATGTGTATACACACATATACACATATACACACATATACACATATGTGTGTATATACACATATACACACATATACACATATGTGTGTATATACACATATACACACATATACACATATGTGTGTATATACACATATACACACATATACACATATGTGTGTATATACACATATACACACATATACACATATGTGTGTATATACACATATACACACATATACACATATACGTATACACACATATGTGCATATACACATATACGTATACACATATACACGTATACACACATATGTGTATATACACATACACACATACACACATATGTGTATATACACATACACACATACACACATATGTGTATATACACATACACACATACACACATATGTGTATATACACATACACACATACACACATATGTGTATATACACATATACATATACACACATGTGTATACACATACACACATATGTGTATACACATACATACATATGTGTATACACATACATATACACACATGTGTATATACACATATACACACATATATACACGTGTATATACACATATACACATATACACACATGTGTATATACACGTGTATATACACATATACACATATACACACATGTGTATATACACATATACACACATACACATATGTGTATATATACACACATACACATATATGCACATGTGTATATATACACATATATGCACATATGTGTATATATACACATATATACATATATACGTATATATACACATATATATACATATATACGTATATATACACATATATATACATATATACGTATATATACACATATATATACATATATACGTATATATACACATATATGTATATGTGTGTATGCATATAGACACATATACATATATACACACATGTGTATATATACGTGTGTATGTGTGTATATATACACACGTATATATACATAAGTGTATATACACATATGTATATATACGTATATATACGTGTGTATATATACATGTATATATACATATATGAGTATGTGTATATATACACGTATATATACATATATGAGTATGTGTATATATACACGTATACATATATGTGTATATATATACGTATACATTTATGTGTATATATACGTATATATACGTATATATAGTTGTTTTAGGTTATAAGACTTAAAAATACTTATCTGATGTATATATATATTTTTAACAATCCTAGTTATTTTGTGTTTCAGGGCAGATAGGTGATGAATAAAGATATTAATATAATTGTGTTCAAAGGTTAGAAAAAAACAGTTCGTTGTGGCATTACTATTGACTGTATCCGCAAATTTCTTTCACTGCAATCCTTTCATGGGCTACTATATATTTTTCTTAAGAATAAAACATTTCCAATTGACCTACAGAGTCTTTCAATCTCTCTTTTGTGCTTTACTTTGCTTCAGCAGAAGGATTTCATTTTAGTGACACTCTGAAGGTCTTCCTCTGTGCTTCACTTAAGGGTGTTGCATTTTTAACCTTACCAAGATTCCTATGGATTCCTAGAATTATATTTCAAATTATGATCATGGTAGCCAGAACACAAAGAATTAAGATCTACTCTGACAGTAATGTACTGATATAACTTTAACTGTAGAAACCTTTCTTGTAATGCACATGGAGGGCAGACTTGTATGTATCTTGGAACATAAAAGGCAGAGTATGGTTTTTAAAAGGGCTTTGCTTATTTGTATCCTAATTTAGCTAATTTCACTATGCCAGTTCTATATGCAGAGATAAGTAATAGTAAAAATGGACAAAAAGTGATCAATAAACAAGTGATCACTTTCGGTCTTGTCCAGAATTGTGGCCAGGTGATGAGTGCAAACTAAGAGACCTTTTCATTAGAAATGTGTGAAGTTACTCTTTGGTTTAGCATTAGCTGTCTTTTAATGAGAACAAATGAGAGTTGCAGATGAATTTGCTAAATGTTTCTTTCTTTGATTTAGTTTACCTGGCCTGAAGAAAAAAAAATGTCTTCGATCTACAAGGTCTACGGAGAGTACTTTTCATAGGAACTAGTCCTATTAAAATTACCTGCAGTTATTATGTCAGTCAGAGAATAAATATTTTGAGTATCATATCTGTACTTGAAGTTCTTATCCTTTACAAATAATTTATATTTAAGGAAACATGCTTTGACAGAAATACACATGAAGTCTACATTCTCTATCTATTTCATATCAGGTGCTCTAGTGTTTTGAATATAACAGTTAAGAGATCAAGTCCCTTTAATCATAAGGCCCTGTTAGCTAGCGAGCTAAACCAAAGAGGGAAACATTTAGCAAACTATCTGACGTTCTCTATATTTGTTTGTCAACTTGTTTGTTTTTTCTCTCTGCAAGTAGAATATAGAATTTCAGAGAGTGACAAGTGCTAAGAGAAAAAATAAAGCAGGATAAGGGTAGAATAGGGATATTTCAAAGGGTAGGTTGCCATTTTATGTAGTGGGTCCTGGAAAAGCCTCACTTAAGAGGCATACAAAAAACCTGAAGGAAGGAAAGGAGGGCATCTTGCAGGTGTCTTGGAGAAGAGAGTTCTAGGCAGAGGGAAGAATATGTACACTCTGAGGAGGGAGTGCGTGTTTGTGGGATAACAAGGGAGTCAAGATGGCTGGTGCAGAGTGACTGAGGAAGAGCGGTAGGATCTGCAAGTGGAGTGGTATTAGAAGGACAAATCAGATAGGGCCTTATTGACCATTGTAAAGGTCTTGGCTTGTACATTGTGGGAGATTAGGAGATTTTGAGAGTTCTGAACAGTAGCCAGAAATAATGTAAGTTAGAATGTAGGATGTAAAGGTAGAAGTAGAGAGATGAGTTAGAGGATAATGTAGTAATGAAGGCTGGGTGTGTGCGTGTGGCTAGGATTAGGTTGATGTCCATGGATCTGGGGAGAAATGATCGAATTTTGGATACATTTTGAAAGTAGATGTAACAGGATTTGCTGGTGGACTAAAAATGGAGATTGAGAGAGTGGAGAAAAACAGTTTTAGCTTGAGCAAAAGGAAGGATGGGATGGTTATTTACTGGGATAAGAAAGACTATTGCAAGAGAGAGTTTGGTGGCAAAGTATAGGTAAATTTCCCATGGAAAATCATTGAAAATAATTTTAGTTTTAGTATGTTTTTATGGAAGGAGTATTTATTTTCAACTCCTAAAATTTATCCTCAAGAACAAGAATAAATACATTTATCTCTATTAAAAAATAAGGAACAATGAGAGATGATACAAGTGCCTCTAGCATTGTATGAGTGTGTACAACCAGTGAACGTTAACTTGTAAATCCAGTAGCAGTAACTTGATCTTTGTCTCTCTTCTGATCTGATAGAGTGCAAGGTCTATGTCTACATTCATTTTTTTGCATGTAGATGTCCAGTTGTTTCAGCATTATTTGTTGAAAAGGCTATCTTTGCTCCATTCTATTGCCATTGCTCGTTTGTCAAAGATCAGTAAACTGTATTCATGTGGGTCTATTTCCACACTATTCTGTTCTATTGATGTATTTGTCTATTATTTTGCCAATACACTGTCTTGATTACTGTCATTTCATAGTAAGTCTTGTAGTCAGATAGTGTCAGTTTTCCAACTTTGTTCTTCTCCTTCAATATTGTGTGGGTTATTCTGGGTCTTTTGCCTTTCATATAAACTTTAGAAACGGTTTGTCTATATAAGGCAAGGTAACTTGCTGTGATTTTGATTGGGATTGCGTTAAATCTGTAGATCAACTTGAGGAGAACTGACTTCTTTACAATATTGAGTCTTTCTATCCATGAACACTGAATATTTCACCATTCATTTAGTTCCTCTGATAACTTTCATCAGAGTTTTGTAGTTTTCTTGTAAAGATCTTGTATATTTTTTAGATTTATTCCTCAGTATTTTATTTTTGAAAATGTTAGTGGAAATGGCTTTGTGTTTTACATTTCAAATTCCACTTGTTCACTGCTGGTGTGTAAGAAACAATTGAATTTTATATATTAATCTTGTGTCCTGCAACTTTGCTACAATTGCTTATTATTTCCAGGGTTATTTTTCGATTCTTTCAGATTTTCTACATAGATGGTCATGTCATCTATGAAGAAATACAGCTTCATTTCTACATTCCAATAGATATGTCTATTTTCTTTGTCTTATTGCATTAGCTAGGACTTCCAATATGATGTTGAAAAAGAGTGGTAAGAGAGACATTTTTGTCTTGTTCCTGATCTTCCTGAGAAAGTTTTCATTTTCTCACCACTAAATAGGATGTCAATTATAGGTGTTTTTGTTCATTTTTTTATATTGTCATGACCTTGTTTTATAAAATACAATTATTTCTCTCCTAACTTTCTGTGGACCTCAATTATAATTTTCCCATAATTCTCTTCTGCTTGCATTGCTCATGTTTTCTGTCTTCTTCCCATTTGTTCTTATTTGCTTTATTTTGAGGAACTGTTTCTCATTATTGAAGTCATTCCTCAAATTACAAGTGATCTTAGCTTTTGGTTTATATTTAAGTGTGAGATACTAACATTTGATAAAATTAAAATCTATTTCATGATTAAAGTACATTTAATATAAAACAGAATTGAATAATTTTGTTGACATATTATATATATATATGCGTGTGTGTGTGTGTGTGTGTTTGTGTGTGTGTAAAGTCCAAAAGTTTGTACATTACTTAAAGAAGAAACATCTGATGCATTCTGGATAAAGACAGGAAAACCATATGAGTACTACAGCTACCTCCATTAATACTTAACATTGTGTTGAAAATATTAGCCATTGCAACCAGACAAGATAAACCAATTCGAGGCAAAACAATTGCAAGCAGTGGTAATGGGATCCCAATTTACAGATAGAATTGTTTACCTCAAGAGATCACACAAAACAATAATATTAACAAACACAAATATGAACACAAACAAATACCAATAAAATAATTTAGTAAGTTAGCAGACTATAAAATTTACAGGCAAAATCAGTAAAATTCATTTTATAGGTAATGAGCTAGAAGTTTTTATGGATGGTGCACACCCATTTGCAACAATAGCAACAACAGCAAAAACAAGAAACACATTTAACAAGAAATTTCAGTACCTATGTTTAAAACTCTCCTGAACAACCCAAAAGGAAATCAAGGAGAAAGATGCTCCTTGTTCCTGAAAAGCATGGCTTAACATTATAAAGTAAACTATTGTTTTTAAGTTAATGTGTAAATTAAAGGCATTCCAATATAATAAGTAGTATTTTTTTCTGGAGTTGGATAAATTGATTATAAACTTTTTATAAAAAAATACACAAGTAAAAATAACCAGAAAAACACTAAAAATAAATATCGATGAAGGGATAGGGAAACATAAAATTATAAATTAAAACTTAGGGAAAACTATCATATTAAATATAAATTTTCAATAAAAACTAACAATTTGTTAAAATGTGTTTTGTAAAAATATATTTCTATCAGCTGGGAAGGTCTGGTAGTAATGAGTATACCTAGCATGCAGATATTCATTGGTAAGTCTCATTCCACACTGAAAGAAGTCACAGCTCATTAGAAGAATATATGATACTTCATCCTGGCCAAGGAACATAGTGGGTGAGCCTGCAGCCTTTGTTAGAGCCATAAGGCAAGGAAGTACTTCCCAAAATTTGCTAACATCTTGAGTTGTTCATTTTTCTTCTCCTGTTTTCTTTATGCTTGTAGAGTTACACCTTTTTAAAAGGTTTTCTTCCTGTCATTTTATTGGAAAGGCTTCAAATAATTTTTAAAACATATTTATAGATGTTCATACTCATATATTTTCCTGATACTGAAAGAGAAATTTATGCATTTAGTAACAATAAATGTTGGCCTAGATTTTCTCTGATGGTCTCTTCAAGAATCTGGAGCGTTCTCTATCTCCACAAAGGATGGAAATGTTTCATTTCAATATGCCAGTTTTCAAGTAAATGTGATTTAGTTTCTCTCTTTTAAGAATAAAGTCATAGCAGAATGCTTTATATTACTGATTGTAGTATCATAACTTACTTCTGAAACATCGAATACAATTTTGGAAGGTCAGCAATGTCCTGTTAATATTTAAGTATGCCTCACTATATAATATGTGCATACATTCTGGAAGAAGCATTTAAAATGAAGACTGTTTCTAATAATATATTAAACGAGCTATGTAAGTAGAGTTTTATGATAGCTGATATTGTGATTTTATTCAGAGACTATTTATATAAGACATTTCAGCATATCTGCTAAAGAACAAACCTATCATCTAAGTCAGTAAACCAATAATTTGAATTAAAAAAACGGACAAAAAGAAAATACGAAGCAACTTGAAAGATCATTAAATACACTGCCTGATAGTTAAGATTCTAAACAGTTACATTATATGAATAGTTTACTGTATATTATATATTTTCTATTTCCACTTTGTTATAGGTAAGCTAATCAGATGTCTCAAGTTATAAAATAATAGCACTAACTTATAAAAGAAGTGCTACCTTTCTTCCACTCCCCAAAATACACAAGATTTTATTCTTCATAAATGATAACATTTGTTGTTTGTTTTCTGTGGTTGAAAGGGAAGTACAGGAATGAAATAATGTATTTTGCAACAACTTGGATAGAACTGGAGGCCATTATTCTAAGTAAAGTAATTCAGGAATGGAAAACCAAACACCGTATGTTCTCACTCATAAGTGGGAGCTCAACTATGAGGATGCAAAGGCATAAGAATGATATAATGGACTCTAGGGACTCAGAGCAGGGGGAAGGGTAGGAGATGGGTGAGAGATAAAAGCCTACATATTGGGTACGGTGTATACTTCTCAGGTGATGGGTGCACCAAAATCTCGGAAATCACCACTAAAGAACTTACCCAGGTAACCAAAAACCACCTGTTCCCCCAAAAGTATTAAAATAAAAAAATTTAAAATTTTGAAAAATTAGGAAAAGGAAGTACATTTTCATGTGTTGCTCTGTTTTAGCACACCTGGTGCAGAGGTCCCTGAGGAATTTTTTCTTTTTCTTTTTTCTTTTTTCTTCTTCTTTTTTTTTTTTTTTTTTTTTTTTTCGAGAAAAAAATATCACACATTTGAGGCAGGAGAATAGGGTCTGGAGGAAGGGAACCTAAGGCCATTTCACGCTGACTTCCCTAGGACTAAACTGAAGGCAAAACCCTAACTTTCCACCCCTAAGTAACATAAGGACCAGAGGCTACTCCCTTTGCAAACCTCCCACCTTTTCTGTGTAGCAGATGGGAAATTGGCTGTTCCCAACCAATCAGACTGATTGCGGGCCCAGTCTTTGCACAGAAGTGCAACTTTGTAACTTCACCTTAGCCTCTGATTGGTTGCTTTTTGCAACCAATCAGATGTTTGCACAGGAGAGTGTCCTATGTAACTCTACTTCAGCCTCTGATTGGTTGCTTTCCACAACCAATCAGACCAATTGCAGGCCACCACTTCATTTACGTGGGGTGAGCATGAAGTGGCCAATGGGAAACCTGTAGAGGGTATTTGGACCCCAGAAGATTTTCTTTATCTGGGCACTTGAGCCGCTGCTCAGCCCGCTCTCACACTATGGCATGTACTTTTCATTTTAAATAAATCCCTTCATTCCTTCCTTGCTTTGTTTGTGCATTTTGTCCAATTCTTTGATCAAGACACCAAGAACCTGGGCACCCTCCACTAGTGACACACTGATAAGATCTTATTATATTGGGCTGATAATTCACCTACACTTTTACCTTCTGAATAGAAAAGGCACTTGATTAGAGATGTATATATCTAGGTGCTGGGATCAACTATGCCATTTGCAAAGTACCTTACTTCTTGAGCAAGAAGGTAACCAAAAGGGGAATGAATAGGCAATATAATTTCTTTTAAAAATGAATTAGTAAGCTCTTGTGGTTACAACAAGAGGACTGTTGTTTTGGTTCTTTCACAATTTTCTATAGTAAAATTTGTTAGTATTAAAGTATAATGTTGATGCCTATATTTTTAAAAGATATAAAAGTAGAGATTTTAAAAGAGAATTAAAAAGGTTTTGAGGGAACTGTTTTAGATTAAGTAAGATAATGAAGAGAAACAATGCTTAAAATATTAGAAAAAAAGACTTATGAGAAAAGTCAGAAGTACTGAAACTGTCTAGCCAAAGTAGAAACGAAACCAAATGATACCTTTCTCATTCATATTAATTATTTGAATGCTTTGGTTTTGTTTTTCTTTATTTTATATTCTGTTAGACGCTGTCTTTCTTGTCTTCAACCAATTCTTTTCTATGTAACATTAGACAGTGTCTAATAATAATACACAAAACAAAAAAGTTGTAAAGAAACCACCCACATTTTCTCTTCAAAAGAAAAAATTGTCTGAGAACTCTGAATGTCTAAAGTCCTTGAATAATAATGGGAAATGGAGGATGGTTCATGAGTGTTTTTCAGTATTAGCAAAAGACTGACAAAAGCATGAGTTTATCAACAGGAAGTACATATAGTCAGACTTATAGACTGAAACTGTTCCTAAAGCTGTGTGTCCCTGTTTTAGAACTATCACCACAGTCACTGAAGCCCTGGGCAATTCACAGACATTGCAAAATCACCACAGTCCCTGAAGGCCAAAGAATGAGACACAGGAGTCTTTTATCATTTCATAACTCAGTGTGCCCATTCTTCCTAATAGGCAGGACCCAGCATCTGTGGTCCTCAATACAACCATTTAGAAAGTCACATTGTAGTCACTCCTTTTGCTTGTTCTGGCAGGGACTGAAGTTGGAGCACAAAAAATCTTGTAAAATTCAGTTCCTATATCAGGGTGTTTCCCCCTTTTTATCATGAAGTCACATGTCCCATCCTGTGTCTTAACAGTAGGTGATTATTAGAAGAGTAGCTGGCACACAGTAGATTTATAATAAACAATGGAATAATTAGAGTGCCTAGCGCACAGTAAATTTATAATAAAAAATATAGAATAATTAATGATGAAGAAATGAATGGTAGATGTAGTAGAATAGAAAGATATATAGGAATCCTGAGAAGTTTGGCAGCACATCCAATAGAAATGTATTGCAAAAAGTTTATATAGTATTTACATTTCTTATAGCCTCATTTAAAAACTGAGAAGAAACAGGTGAAGTAATTTTAATAATATTTATTTAACTATATGTAAAACAAAAATATTATTTCTTCAACAGGTAATCACTATATCAATTAGTATTATTTATTGCATTATTTATTGTACCACCTCTCTAAATTCCGTTGTGAATTTTACACTTCCAGCAAATCTCAGCAACACGGGATAGCCACTATTCAGGTGCTCCAAAGCCACATGTGGCTAGTGGCTACCACATTACACAGCATAGCTATAGAGGGGTCTTAGAATATTCTGACTAAGTCAGGAAGGGACTTTTGTCACCTCCACCAACATCCCATGGGTCAGAACCCAGTTATATGGCTAAACTTAATTGCAAAGGAAACTAGAAAATGTAACTATAGAGGAATCTTTAAGAAACTATTGGTCAGACAACCTAAGTGTAATGTGACAGGATATTATCTAAAATCTTAATTTGAAACAATTACATATAGTTGATATAAAATGCATAAAATAGAGAAGGATGTACTATTTTTGAAGCCAGGTTCAAAGTGTATATAATGAACACTATTGAACAAAGCAAGATTTAAAAAAAATTGTGAATTGAATAAAATATGTATAGTAAATGTACACTCTATTATGTAAACTAAAGTATGTTTAGTATAAAAACACCCCTATACTAAAACTCCTTTCAATACTCCAAAGCAGTAAGAAAAAAAACACAAAATATACATTTACCAATCTTAATAGTCTAGCTTATAAACTGATATGGAATTCGTTACATGATCCCTGTTTGAACATTATGTAAGACTAGCCCAGGAAATGATATGGAAAAAGGAATGAAAGGTAACTTTCAACGAAGTTACATGGGAGAGTGATCAAAAGAAAATGTGACTTTTTTTCCTTAACTCAACACGTGTACGTGACGCTTCAAGTATGCAACAATGGATCTGTGCTCAAGTCAAATGCACAGACCAGAAACAGAAATTGGTCAGAAGACATTTCTTGTTTTTTCGGTTTTTTTTTTGTTTTTTGTTTTTGTTTTTGTTTTTGTTTTTGAGATGGAGTCTCGCTCTGTCACCCAGGCTGGAGTGCAGTGGCACACTCTTGGCTCACTGCAACCTCCGACTCCCTAGTTCAAGCGATTCTCCTGCCTCAGCCTCCTGAGTAGCTGGGACTACAGGCACGTGCCACCACACCCGGCTAATTTTTGTATTTTTAGTAGAGGCGGGGTTTCACCATGTTAGCCAGGATGGCTCAATCTCCTGACCTCGTGATCTGCCCGCCTCAGCCTCCCAAAGTGCTGAGATTCTGCGTTGGTCATCAATGTTTAAACATGTTAAACGTAACATGTTACATTTAAGTAACAATACCTACATAATCATGTAAGTACATTCATTGCCAACTTAAAAGGGAGTCTTCAAAGCAGAATTGTCAGAACTTTTAGCTTCCCTGGGCCACACTGGGAGAATTGTCTTGGGCCACACATTAAATACAGTAACACTAATGATAGATGATGAGCTAAAAAAAATAAATCTAAAAAATATCTCATGATGTTTCAAGAAAGTTTACAAATTTGTGTTGGGCTGCATTCAAAGCTGTCCTGGGCCTCATGCAGCCTGTAGGCTGCGGGTTGGACAAGCTTGCTTCAAAGCTAACATTTTTTCTCCAAAATTTTCCCTACTGCTATCGCGATCAATTTGTTTCCTCTGAAGTGACTGATTTTAACTGAGATATTTTTGTTTGTTTGTTTTCTGGTTCTGCATGTATAAATCCTTCGAATAGTGTAAGGACACTGAATTTCCAGCAACTTCTGTTTCGAAGGTTCACACTTCAAACTATAACATGTTGTGTAATTATTGGAAAAGTGTCCTAAAGCTTCCATTATTAGCCTATAAACTATAGTTTTGGAAGAGACTTTGCCCACCATTTTACATTACTAGCTGTGAGTGCCTAACATTTAGTAAGTACCCAAGAAATATGAATGTTAGAATAAAGTCATACATATAAGAAATTCTTTACATTGTTCAACTACTGGAGAATATGTTATATGTAGTGATTATTTTTAAAAGCATTATAAAAAGCATTTCAATTTGTTCAAGCATCTCAATAAGTTAGTTAAAATACACAGAAAATGAATAAAACAATTAGAATATATATGTAGCATTTGTGTGTGTGTGTGTATATAAACATATATATGCAAATGTGTGTGTGTGTGTATATATATATATAAATAGGTAGAGAACTTTAAAGTAATTAAAATCTGAATGTGGTTAGCTCAAGTCAGGTAAATTTGAGAAAATCTTTACAAAAGCCATTTGCTCATACTACTCACTCTCAGATTAGTTGTTCATCAGGTAAACAATTTGCTAAATAAACATTTAAATAAAAGAAACACATTGCATAGGGGAAGAAAACATAATTTTACCTCTACCTTGATTTTTTTTTTTTTTTTTTTTTTTTTTGACACTGGGTCTCACTTTGTGGCCCAGGCTGGAGTGTGGTAATGCAATCTTGTCTCACTATAGCTTCAACCTCCCGGGTTTGAGCCATCCTTCCACCTCAGCCTCCCCGGTAGCTTAGCTACAGGCATGCACCACCATGCCGGGCTAATTTATTATTTTTTTTACTTTTTGGAGAAATGAGGGTCTTGCTATGTTGCCAAGGCTGGTCTTGAATGCTTGAGCTCAAGTGATCCTTCAGTCTCAGCCTCCCAAAGAGCTGGGATTACAGGTGTGAGCCACCGCATCTAGCCTCTACCTTTATTTCTTAACTGGGACTCCTATAACAAAAGAGATATCAACAAGAAAAAAACAATAAAGTTTACTAACATACACACCTCATGTATACATGAAAGATATATAAGGAAAAATGAATAAATTTCTCTGACAAAGAACAATACGTTTTTTGAGAAGTAACAAGACAAGGGAAAAGGACCCTGAGTCTCTATGAGTGGCCAATTTCAGGAAGGCAAATATATGGGAAACTGATGGTAGATAAAGGCTAGTTAAGAAAATTTATTATGTAGATTCCTCTGATGCAGTCTCCGGGCTGATAAAGATCTAAAGTTGTCATTGGTGATCAAACTTTGTCCTTTCTGATAGAGAGGAGAGGATGGACACCTTTGCAAATGTATGTACTGTTTTCAGGCAAATAGTGGGAGGGCAGAGAACTTATATCTGCTTCTTCTGAATTGCCTTTAGCTCAAAATAGTCCTGTGTCAAAGTGGCATATTTTCATGAACATAGAGAATGGAATAATAGACATTGGAGACTTCAAAAGGTGAGAGGGGCCGGGTGCGGTGGCTCACGCCTATAACCCCAGAACTTTGGGAGGCTGAGGCAGGCAGATCACGAGGTCAGGAGTTCGAGACCAGCCTGACCAACATGGTTAAACCCTGTCTCTACTAAAAATACAAAAATCAGTCGGGCATGGTGGCGCGTGCCTGTAATCCCAGCTATTCAGGAGACCGAGGCAGGAGAATTGATTGAACCCAGGAGGCGGAGGTTGCAGTGAGCCGAGATCGCGCCACTGCACTCCAGCCTGGGTGCACAGGGCGAGACTCCATCTCAAAAAAAAAAAAAATGGCGGGAGGCTCTCATGTACCCCAGAAATTTATACACCTACAGTGTACCCACAAAAATTAAAAATACAAAATTTTTTAAAAGGTGAGATTGTGGCAGGGGAGTGAGGAGTGAGAAATTACCTATTAGGTACAATGTACACTATTGGAGTGATGGTTTCACTAGAAGACCAGACATCACTACTATCCAACATATGCATGTAACAAAACTACACTGTACCTCCTAAATCTATAAAAATAACAACAGAAAAAGGCAAATATACATATGCTTTCTTATAGATTCATTAATCTGTTTTATTTCAGTGAATGAAAACTTTTGACAATGGCTAACCTTGAAAATATGTTATTAGAACATGTTTTTCTTTCTCCATTGTGCCCTATGAGCACAACTTGAGAAATCCAGCAATAAAATGCAAGCTAGTTTTTTTTTTTTTTTGAAACAGTCTTGCTCTGTCGCCCAAGGTGGAGTGCAATGGCACTATCTCGGCTCACTGCAACCTTCACCTCCAGGGTTCAAGCGATTCTCCTGCCTCGGCCTCCCAGGTAGCTGGGACTACAGGTGTGTGCCACCATGCCTGGCTAATTTTTTATTTTTGGTAGAGGTTTTGCCATGTTGGCCCGGCTGGTCTCGAACTCCTGACCTCAGGTGACCCGCCCGCCTCTGCCTCCCAAAGTGCTGGGATTACAGGCATGAGCCACCGCGGCCATCAAGCCTGCTTTCTTGACATATTTTGTGACATATTTTGGGATGGCATATTTCGGTCTCCTACAGTTGGCAGGGCAATCTAAAGTACTTTAATATCCTTCTTCATGATACTTTCAAAAAATGGAATTTGATGCCTCAGAAAACAATACTAAAACTTTCTTAAAATATTACAATGTGTACTATATTACTTTTTTAAGTAATAGGACTTATAAATATTTATTTTTAAAATTTGTAAATATTTACCATCCACCTTTGATTGAACATTTTTTTCTCATTATTTTATCCAAAAATGTCTATTGAGACCTTTAAAATTTGTATTTTGTGGCACCATCTAAGACGTGATTTATGCTCCTTGTCATTATTTAATCGTCAAAATGATACTTTGTCTTTGCTTAAATCAGTGTGGGTACATCGAACAAGGTTTGAGAGCTACTCTGTAGGACTGAGTCATTAGCCTGTAATTTTACAGCGGATCAAGTACTACGTTTTCATTACTTGGAAAGAAAATGACCTTGCAATTGACTCTTACATTTAACGTTTTTATCTCAGCTTTACCACCATTAAATATAACTGTTTGCACTGACCACATAAGAAACCAGAAAAATCACTGGGTCACAGTTTAATCTAATTCAATTTAAATCCGAGCTAGATAGCTATAATTGGCAGTTTACCATATCAAAGGCCAGAGTTAAGTTACACTCAAAATTGTGTTGATTTGGAAGTAATTTGCCTTAAATTTTCAAGCATTGTTCTGGGGGTACTAAAATGCTCTTTCAAGAGTTTACTATATGGTACGTAATATTTTCCAAGTGTTAGATGATTTATGAAGTCTACATTATTATCTAAAACAACCAATGTTGTAACTACCATACAAGTCTATGAATAGACCTTATTTCACTTGGCCTATCTCAGGGTACAGGATCCCAGCCTTCTTCCGTGGCAATATGCAGGCTGTTCCTCAGCAACGATTTCTAGTATTGTGTGAAATAATCATACTTACAATACTAACTTCTTGCTTCCCAATGCCAAGAACACTCATCTTGTTTCTATTGAATAAGGTGACAGGCATGATAGAAGCAGGGCAGAGCCAAGTCCTGACAGTAACATTTCAAGTACAGAGAAATTCATATGAGAAAAATGGACAATGAGGGCTTGTTGTCCGTGACTTTTTGTTCCATGAAAAATATGCCTGTTAGCAAAATCACATAACTAGGAATTTTAGATAAAGTTTCTATGTACATTATTTAAAAGAGTGCTTTATACGGCATTTAAGTTAAAAAGAAAGAAAAAACATTCACATTAAACCTAAAAGTAACTAAAAAGTCATAGAACAGAGATGTCATACAGATGGCTAGCCTTTATTAAGTGTCAAGCATTGTTATAATGGATTTGCATGAGTTCTTTAATTGCATTTATTTATCTTGTTTTGGTTTGGTTTTTGAGACAAGATCTCACTTCGTCACTCAGGTTGGAGTGCAGTGGAGTCATTGCGGCTCATTGCAGCCTTGACCTCCAAGCCATCCTCCTACCTGAACCCCCAAGTAGCTGGGACTACAGGTGTCCCCCACCATGCTCAGCTAATGTTCCTATTTTTTGTAGAGATGGGGGTCCCCTATGTTGCCCAGGCTGGTCTCAGACTCCATAGCTCAGGTGATCTACCTGCTTTAGCCTCTCAAAGTGCTGGCGTGAGCCACGGTGACTGACCTTATTTATTTATTTTTAATGAACAAGTAACAGTTGAGTAATTTATGGTGTACAATGTGATATTTTAATCTATGAATATATTACAGAAACATTCAATCAAGCTAATTAACATATCTATCACCTCACTAACTTATGTTTTGTGGTCAGAATGTTGTCTACTCTTGGTGGGAATGTAAATTAGTATGGTCATTTTGGAAAATAATATGGAGATTCCTCAAAAACCTAAAAATGGAATTACCATATGATCCAACTTTCCTACTTCTGGATATATATCCAAAGGTATTTTAATTGATTTGTCAAAGATATATGTGCACTCTCAGTTAATTCTTAAAGCAACGTACTGAGATAGACATTATTAGTATCCTCATTTTACATATGACAGAACCAAAGCAGAGAATAGTTAAATAACTTGTTCAAGGCTAAACGGAGAAAGAATCAGGATTCTTTTTAATATTTTCAAGATTCCCAAGTTCAAATGATTAAACAATCTATTTTTTTTTTTTTTTTAAATTGGGGGCTTCCACCTTTTTTATATTTGTTGTTAGTGGGATTTAGGACATATCATCCCCAAATATGGCACCTTGGCATTTCGGGAAACAGCGGAAGTGAGAAAGTCTCTGACCTTCTGCCACCATTTTCCTCTGAAGCAGATCAGAAAAGAATTATCTGGCCTTGCTCTGAAGTAGGCCATAAGACCCCTCATGTGTCCCATACCTAAAGGAAAGGAATGTCACACTGGGACACAGAGAAGACTGAACAAACAGGCTTTGCTACATTCCCCCCCACCCCAACTTTATTACCATTAGATTACACCCTTTTGTTCTCCAATCATACTTCTGCCAGGTTGTCCACTCTTCATCAAATTTAGCATAAAAATACACAGGTCTCCCCTTTTTCTTTAGGTATTCATTTCTGAATGCTCCTGTGTCCTGGTATCATTTGTAAAATTTATATTAAATACATTTGTATGCTTTTCTCTTGTTAACCTTTCTTTTGCTATAGGGGTCTCAGCTATGAACCTTGTGATAGGCGAGGAAATCAATTTTTTCTCCCCTACATTGTTCACAATCCAATTTAAGAGAAAAAGTGAGCACTCTTGATGATCCAGTACCCCCCAAAACACACAGACACATGCAGAAATAAAACAAAAGTTTTATAAAAGGTGGCATTTTTAGTATATGTAGCCACACTTTAATAATTTTATTTCATTCTTTTCTATTTGTTTTTTTTTTTCCTTTTTTTGAGATGGAGTCTCTGTTGCTCAGGCTGGAGTGCAGTGGCATGATATCAGCTCACTGCAACCTCTGCCTCCTGGGTTCAAGCAATTCTCCTGCCACAGCCTCCCAAGTAGCTGGGACTACAGGCACACACCACCATGCCTGGCTAATTATTGTATTTTAGTAGAGACGGGGTTTCACCGTGTTGCCCAGGCTGGTCTTGAACTCCTGAGGTCAGGCAGTCCGCCCGCCTCAGCCTCCCAAAGTGCTAGGATTACAGGCATGAGCGACCGCACCAGCCTTCTATTTGATTTTTTACATTAATGGCAGTTATGACACATAAACGGGTTGTACAGCTCACAAATGTCTTGACCTATAGCTTGAAGAGCATTTGTCTAAATGACTTGCTCAAACTACTTACTCACAAATCCGGGTTCTAAAGTTAGGTTTTTTGGTTTAAAAACTGTAGGCTTTTTCCTCTTGGTTTTATAATTGTGTCAGTCCAAAAATTCTTCATTTCCTAACTTTTCTCCATATTAGCTATAAATCAGAATAGTTGGGAACTAAATGGGAGCTTTGCCAAAGGGGCAATCCCCAACTACAATGCGTTGGTCTAATATTCAGTAAAATACATTGATTTTAGTAAAATTCACTGCATATTTTGCATTTTACTCAAATTCAATATAAAATAGACAGTTTTTTTTTTTTTTTTTTTTTGAGACAGAGCTTGGCTTTTGTTGCCCAGGCTGGAGTGCAATGGCGTGGTCTTGGCTCACTGCAACCTCTGCCTCCTGGGTTCAAGCGATTGTCCTTCCTCAGCCTCCCAAGTAGTTGGGATTACAGGCACCTGCCACCATGCCCAGCTAATTTTTGTATTTTAGTAGAGACGGGGTTTCACCATGTTGACCAGGCTGGTCTTGAACTCATGACCTCAGGTGATCCGCCCCCATCGGCCTCCCAAAATACTGAGATTACCCCACCTGGCCAACAGTCTGTTCTTAAAGAAAGAAAATTAAAATAAATATAATTACTAGATTCAGTGTACATTTTACTTTTGTGAGTATCATTCAGGAATTCTTACCTCAGAAAACCTGGAAAAGGCAAGTTATTTAGAAATATGAAGAAATCAGGGTGTTTTATTCTTAATGAAAGCATGCATCTTAATTTATCTTTAGAAATGACTGGGGGAAGTTGATTATACAATCAAAATGATTAAAATTAGGCATGTAGACTTTAGTGCAAGCAAATCTGGGCCACTCATTTCCAGGTACATGAGGAAATGTACTAGCACTTCTTTTATTACTATAGCTTTGAAGGCAGCGTGTTGTCTTACTTCCCATTGTTTGGATTTTTAAACTGATAATTAAATTCATTTGCATCACTGCTGCTTGGATTACAAATACTTAAAACAATTAGTTTTCTGTCAGATCACAGATCTACATCAAATAGATGTTACTTTTTAAAGAATAAGCCCTCACCAATTAGAATGATTCAAAAGCTTTTGATTGTTTTCTCCAAATTGTTAAGTATGCATTTGTCTTTAATGTAAATAAATAGACTTAATGGCATAAAAAGCCATTCTGAATTTTAAATGAATGACAAAATGTAAATCATGTTCTGGCATAATAGTTTTGCCAAAGTTTCAAGAAAAGAAATAGGAGCATTCACAATAAGCAATTGCAAGCTGTGAAATGGCATATTAAAACAGAGGATTAAGTTATTTTTCTAGTTAGTTTTTGGGGAAAAAATCTCCAGTCTTGCAGAAATGGCTAAATAATTGCATTTGGTATGGAGGCTACTTTTGGTCAAAATTATGTTAATAAATATCTGAGTTCCTCACATTAAAGTGAAGCAAGAATCTGTGGCATTTTTTTAAGTCATAAAACATTTGTATGTTGGCTTTTAGATAGTAACAAGATGGCATCCATTTATCTGTATGCTTCTGCGCATACAACCTTATATGACATATGTACCAATAAAAAAAGTATACATGTATTAGTAATTAAATTCTAGACTTGTGCTGTCCAATTTGGTAGCCATTAGACAATGGCAAAAAATTATTTTGAATTTAAATTAGTGAAAGTAAAAGAAACTATGTTGTTCCTCCATTTTGCTAGCTACATTTGAAGTGCTCAGTAGTCACATGGTTTTAGTGGCCATCGTGTTATGTAGTGCATGTATAGAACATTTTTTGTTTTTTATCACCACCAAAAATTCTAATGGACAATGCTGGTTTAGCTCTTCAGTATTGCAAACTTTAGCCTTTAAAAGCTATTTGCAATTATTTAGCGTGTATTGTTTATGCTCCAAAATACTTTCATCTCAATGTAGAAAGAAAACGATTGCACTTTTGAATATAAGAGAAATCAAATCCTTGATTTTTTTCTACATAAAAACGTGGAATTTAAACTGAATTATTTAACAAAAATCAAAGTACCTTAGAAATAACCTGAAAAGAAAAACAAATTTTAGATAATATATATAATTTTGAAGTAGAAGAAAACTAAGATAAAACGTACTGCATTTGTATACTTTTATAGTTTTCTAATTATTATTATAATTGGAAAAAATGAATTTTAACAAATTAGGTATAATTATCACTGTGGTAAGCAGTCTCCAGAATGGTCCCAAATTAAGGTTGTCTGATTACGGAATACCATGTTCTTTTAAGTCCAGTAATCCCAACCTTTTCTAGGATAAAGCTTGGTATATGGAATCAAGATATGTATTCTTGTTATTCTTCTGTTACCATTACTGCTGTGGGTTTCAAGAACAGGCACATACAGTTTCTCCTTGTGTGACACAAACCTTGTGTGAATACTTTTTGGTACGCTTTCAAACTGGGGCAGCACTAGATGAATGCCTTTTCCCTAGGTATGCCTTTCAGTAAACTCTCCAGGTGAGAGGGGTGTAGTAAGTACTGCTTTACATGGATCTAAGTGACATGATTTGATCACAGTTCAGGTGGTTGTAGTTATGAACCATTTCATGTTAAATTAAGGTTTAGGGGTTTATTTTCTAAAATAATGCTACTTACAGTGACAGCATAGCATAGAATCTACAAGTTCTAAAGCAACTCAATAACTTCTCTTAAATGGCCCTTATTATTTTGGATTAGCATTTTGGATGACAACTAACTCCACTCCCTCTCTTGAAGGGAAAGAGATTTGGTAGAAATAATTGAATGAATCCTGGATTAATCTAGAATATGATTTTATCAATGACTGATGAATTACACTGCACTCAGTTGATAACGGTGTCTTCTTCTCTTAGAAATGTTGAGTTTGTTCCTATTATTATTTCAGGAGACAAAGCTTTTTAAAAGAGTTGGTCAACTGTAGCTAGGCATGAAAGCATGGTCTCTAAGAAGACACTTATAATTCCCTAAGTATTTGATTAAAAGGAAAACAAGTACCTCAAAAACTCTTAAGTTTATGTTATAGGCAAAGAAGTCCCCAAACAATTTAGTCAACACTCTGAAATAAACTCTTAAGAGTGGTGATTTTCACTTGGCATTTTGGAGATTCCATGTGTGGCAATGTGCTCCTCAATCAAGGAGTTACATTTCTATGTGCAGTAACATTGCAGTTGCACAATTAATACAAAAACAAACATATATTAATCAATGACAGGTTTTCTCATTTTCATACAGAGTTATGAAACCTTTAGGCTAAGGAACAGAATAGTGAGAAATTAGACAACTATTAATAATAGGATTAATTAGATTCTGGCCCTACAGCTAAGAAAATGGAGTGACAATCAGAATAACACCAAAGTTTTGCAAGTTGTCCAAGTGACAAAATACAACTAATTAATACTAATAAACTAAAGTCAAATTGGACTCTATTTACACAAAGTACTTTTTATATACAGGCAAAAATTTAAGTAGAAAAATTATGGCCTCCCAGAACTAATACCAAAAATTTAATGGTAAGAAAATGAACGTATTCATTTAATATATAACCACATCATTTGAAAATATTGAGCTCTCATTGTAAAGACATGACATTTTCTCTAAAATTAATATATTCCATAAAAATAGTTTTTAAAAGAGAAAGGCTTTGTCTTCATTCTTTTCGTGTGAAGGTCAAATATCTTAGATTGGAATTTAACTGCAGGAATTATGCTTCTGTTCTTACTTTAGCAACACTAACGATGACATTTTCTGAAGTACATATTGTTAACACCATCATGATGAAAGCAAATCATTTTTCTACACTTACTTTGATGCTAATCAGAGCAGTCATTTAAGTTGCTACATGACTCTGAGACAGAAATTTCAAAATGAAATTGACCACCGATTCCCAGACAAAACCAGAATAGTGGTGTCAGATGAGAAGGGTTTTGCAGTGTTTTGTCACATTTCATTTTGATTTTTACTTTTTTCTCTGTTTGACATATGTTCTGAACTAGAGTGCCATAAAGTTTTATCACCATAAGTTTGAAATGACCACATTACTCATGAGCTACAGAGTCACAAGTGAGTTTTTAGCTTCTTTCAAAGCTGTAGAAATAAAACTTTATAGTACCCTACCCTGGTATATGTTGTTTTATGTGACACATTTTGTTCCACTTTATTCTTTTCTTTTATTTCCCTTCATTATTTTCTTTTTGAATTATAGCAGAATTTGTATTAAATTTTTCCTAATACACAACAGTTTAAGCTACATTTTATAATATCTTATGTATTTTTTTCATACAGATTATCTTTGACCTGTAATGCCCATCTCTTAAAGAAATTTTAGATGGTCATTATAAACAAGGTTCATTGTGAAATATATTTCTGTTGAAACACTGATTTTATTACAAAAAGGTAATGTTTGATTTCCATGAGAACCAAAACTATTGGTTGAGATATGAAAGATGAACATTTGCTTCCCTTTACACAATTGATTAAAATTCTTAATGCATACATAGTCACACTACACAATTAGTGTAGTACATACATATCCGTATAACTTGAGTCTTCCATGTATATGTTATGCAATAGAACTTCTACAAAGACATCAATATCTCATGCTGAAACTATCCAAACTATAAAATGATTTTAGGATTAGCTTATCCCAAAGGGAAATTGTGAGCAATGTGGCTGGCCTGACAGCCTGAAGTGATATGCTCAGAGTGGATCTGATAGGCAGCCATTCATTTCAAGCTCAGGAAGCAAACTTATTATTTTGTCATACACGGTCGTTTTTCCATTGAAGACATTAAGACGGTAAAGAAAGTCCTCAGAGTCTATGGAAAGGATCACCAGACTTTCATTTTATCTCCAGATCTTGAACTGGAGCTTTTGAAGATTCCATTTTAGTGATTTCTGGAAGGCTGCTAATCTTAATGAATAAAGTCAGAAACACATGTGTGTGGCTGATTCAGATTCCAGAAAGAATTTTGGTTGCTATCATGATTATTTTTAAGGCATAAGTGATTAACGCTGAGATATACTGCTTTTCCTATTTGTGGATTAAATTTCTTCTATCGGAGAAGTTCTAATTGAAATGTCTCCATTCAATGTGGTTGTGCACACACACAAGTACACCCATGAATGATATTTTACATATGTAAAAAAAGAAAACCGATATTAAGTAACTTCTACTTTTCATTATGAGACATGCTGTGTGTGATTTTATATATATATATACACATATATATGTATATATGATTTTCCTGTGTTTTGTTAATCATTTTTTATCATTTTATAATTTTTACCATTTTCATCATTTTTTATTGTGTGGCTGATATATACTAGATATTACTCACTCAGGGAGGATACACCCTCATCTGGGCACTCTTTTATACAAGTTATGGCTTTTGTTTTAAATAATTCATCTAAGTTTAATGAAAGAAATAAGTGACTGCTTTATCCTAGAGAAGCAGCAAAGAGATTTTGTTCACCTGTGCCTTTAGAGACTACATGACAGCCTCTACAAGTAGCAGGGTAGAATCAGGTTGATTATAAAAGCCTTCATTTCATGCTAAATGGAAAGGAGAAAAGAAAGAATTTTCTCCTTTAATTAGAATGTGGCAGTTTAATGACAGAGGCACTATTGTTGTGGGTTAACATGGAATGAAATCAATTAAATAGGACTATGTATACTTAGGTGTCTGTAGGAATCACCAAAAATGTAACTCTCCAACAGTTTGCTGAATCTGCCTCTGTTTTGTCTGGCTGCTATACTTGGTATGTGGGCCATCTGGCTCCTGGATTCCAGTAAGGTTTGCATATTCACACATCAATCAGAAGTGGTGTAGGGCCTATTAGGAAGCACCAGCCAGTTAGGTGACATGCCAGGACTGCAAAGCACTCAAGCAGGAATGCCAAGTGGGGAGCTTCTGCTGAAGCTGACGCTGACACGGGCATTGGAGGCACCTTTTGATCCGTCTAGCTTTACTGTTGATGTCACAGTCCTGCTAGATCAGGCATAGGGATGTCAGGTCACGTAAGGCCTCATTTATGTCATTGGTTTTGCCTGGATAATTCAAATGGAGCAAAAATAAAAGTGATCTTGATCCTTAGGTCCCATGACTTTTGATAGTAGAAGGATCATTGATCTGAAATTGTCTTGCATTCCTGACTAGTAGACAGAAAGATATCAGAAGCAACTTTGTCTATTCTGTTTCTAGAACTATATTGTGGGTACTAGTTTTTCACAGTAGTACTAGACATTTCAGAAACAGCTACCGAATAATCTTTCCAAATAAAGGGAAAGGTTGTAATAAAATGCATTCCCATTCCCTATGTCTTCTCAAACAGTTCACTGAAACTTAAAGGGATGAGCACACTTTACAAGAAATGCAAATAACCTTTTAGTTCACTGAAATAAGATAAACAACACATGTGTGTATTTTTAATTGGAAGCTCTATCATTCAGTTCCTTGAACTAACAGCTACTATACTTTTCTTTTGATGTATGCTTCACAGATATCCATTGCAAGTTTTAGATTGTTTGCTTCAATGTAGATAAGACAAATTAACTGAAAACTTAAAAAGCACCTAGAGGATTGGTTATTTTAATGTTTTTTAGACCTCTGGATGCTTTGATCCCATACAGAATAGGATGAAATTCCACTATAATGGCATTGTTTTAAAATTTGAATTGGCCGTAATGTGTTGTGTGTGCACACATTTATCTAGCTATGAACACAATTAATACTCACTGAGAGAGCTCTTTAAAATGATGACATAATTTTTTTCTTTGAAAAGTTATTTCTTACGCCCTAAATTTCTAAAGTCACCAAAAAAAGGTAATTTTCTATATGTAAGACTTATTTATAGTAACTAAATTTCTAAGTAACTGATATCTCCTAAACAGAAATGTCTAATAACTTACTTCTAGATCAGCTTTAACAATGGTTTTGATTTATCTAACTTAGTGCAGTAATACAAATATTAGTAGTAAAATAATACAAGTTTAACTAACTTGGTATAATAATAGGAATAATATAATTGCTCATGTTTGATGTATGCTAACTACTTGGCACCATTAAGTACATCACATGTATTATTTCACTTTTCTCATTAAAATAGCAGTGTGATGCTATTATCTCCATTTTACAGAGAGGGAAAGTGAGGCATGGAGAGAAGTCGCAATTTAGAAAAGTAATAAGTATAATACTTATTTTAATTTTAAATTATTCTTTGCTAGAGGAAAGATGCATGTTCCTTGGACATCTTCTATACTTTAATAATATTATTTCTATGTTTCTAGCAACCCCCACAATGAAAAGCAAATACACGATGCCTTTGGGGGACAAAGCAGTTCTGTAGTCAGGCCCACACATGAAGTGTTTTACCTTTATAGGTTTCAACAATTAATTGGAATAAGCTATTTTTTCTGTTTTGGCATCTGTCTACTTGGCAAGGCCCCCAACTGTGGTGTTGGCAGCTGCATGACAGCGACTGCCTCTGGTTTTTCCACAGCAACTGGCTGAAACTCGCCTCCCTGGGCTGTCCTATTATGTTGAAAATTATTTTCTTTGACTCAAATCAGAAGAGTGTAATAGAAATTGTGAAAATTCCTGACATCTTCCCAAAGATGTTTTTGAAATAGGTTAAGGTTCTCCGGGAGTAAACTTGGATTCTAAATATGATTTTTTTTTTCTGACAGATGTATGCATGTGTTATGGTAGGTATTCAGAAATGAATGCTCTCATTTGTAAAATAAAATAAAATAATCCCAAACTCTTAACTATAGCAATTTGTGGTTTTAATCGTTTTCCCTTGTAAATGGAAACTTGGTAAGTTTTAGAGTGCATTGTACATGATAAAATACATCTTATGTCTAAAATCTTAGAAAATATTATCTTGCATTGGGGAAAACATCATAATAGTGCATATGTGATTCATTTTATGTAAAGTCCTAAAATTATCTAAATTAAAATATCTATATTCTATAGCTGTGCATGTGTGTATGCACACACAAGAATATACACATCTGCATTTTATATAGATACAAGTATATTGAAAGGATGATACATTCTTATACAGATGTAGAGCTTAGGATTTCTTTATCAATATAAGATAGAAACTGCGAAAGCATGAAAATGAAATTAAGCATACTTCCTTTATTCACTTATCACCCGTTTTCAGAATTAGTTGCCCTATGGGTAGGTACCTTTTAAATTATATTGTACATCTTTCAATTAAATATCGGGAGGTTGAAAATTAAGTGACAATTCTAATATTTCTAGTGGAAGACCTGAAGCTGCACTATTAAAAAGCTAGTAAATGGAAGGGGAAGGATATTTCTTTATCCATGGAGTTAATTACACAAGCAGTACACTATGTAAGTGCTAGGAGAAAAGGTGATACAAACACTACTTAAAAGGTTTCCAGCGAGAAGCAGCTCTGAACAAAGTAGATTTAAAGTGTTACCTCCTTACTCCTACAAATTCTAATGGGAATCAATTATGTTCCATGAGTAATAATAATAATTAATATTTATGGAAGTGCTTACTATATGCTTGGCTCTGAAATAAGGGCTTCACATATTATAGCACATAACTATCCTAAGTAGAAGATACTATTTTTACTTCCCTTTTTATAGATAGGGAAAGTAAAACACAGAGGTGGGCCGGGCACGGTGGCTCACTCCTACAATCCCAGCACTTTGGGCGGCCAAAGCGGGTGGATCACCTGAGGTCAAGAGTTTGAGACCAGCCTGGCCAACATGACAAAACCCTGTCTCTACTAAAAATACAAAAATTAGCCGGGTGTGGTGGTGGGTGCCTGTAATCCCAGCTACTTGGGAGGCTGAGGCAGGAGAATCGCTTGAACCTGGGAGGCGGAAGTTGCAGTGAGCCGAGATGGCGCCATTGCGCTCCAGCCTGGGGAACAGGAAGGAAACTCCATCTCAAATAAGTAAATAAATAAATAGCACAGAGGTTAAATAACTCTCCTACACTCACACACTCCATGTGTCTCTGGTGATCACTTGGTACCACTTCTTTTCTTGCATGTCTCACCTCTCTTATAAACACATTACCAATTTTAAATGGGTGTTATGAACTATGTGTATTAATTATGGCTGAGAACCACCATTTTTAATAACATGGAATTTTCTTTAGCTGGCAGGGAAGGAATGCTTCCAGTTTAAAAAAAACGGTAAAGGACATAGCTTTAAACAGAAAAGACGCTTTGAAGATAAGTTCATGTCCATAAAGTCCATTCAAATAACTTAGTAAATTGCTGATAAGGTCATATCATGTAGCATTTTTTAAAAATAAGATTGCTGAAAGTTCAGCTTGCTCTGAGTAAACACAGAGCAAGATGATTCTCAATTATATAGTGAATAAAATCAATAAGAACATCTAGTGAAATCCAAACAGAAAATAAAAAAATCAAAATTGACTTTTAAAAAAATTGACATTTTATGGAGATAATTGTAGATACATATACAGTTAATAAGAAATAATACGGATATCCTATGTACACTTTACCATTTTTTCCCTAAAGTTAATATTTTGCAAAACTATAATATAATATCACAGCCAGAATATTGACATTACTACAATTCAGCAATTTTATTCAGTTTCTCTCGGTGTTCCTATATGTGTGTGTGTGTGTGTGTGTGTGTGTGTGTGTGTGTGTGTGTGTGTATTTAGTTCTGTACAGTTTCATCACATGTGCAGGTGTAGGGGAATTGGATATCACCTCCAATCCCCCTTTTAGTTCTTAGTAGGCTCTTCAGTTGGATCTAGAAACCAAATCGACATCAGGCAGAAAACAAAAGAAAAGAATACAAATTGTATTACTTATACATGTACGTGGAGATCATCACAAGAAAGTGAAGCCTGAAGAAGTAGTCAAAGCAAGATGCTTTTAATGATGAATGATGAATTTGATGAATTTGGAAAGCAATGACAGGATAAAGAGAATCTGGCTAGGGACAGTAAATTTTCTCTAGGGGAGTCACTAGGAGATAGATAGTGGGTATAAAACTAGTGAAAGATAAGGGTTACTTCAGTAAATATATTTATTCAGGTCCATTGAAGCCTCCAATTCTAAGTCTCTGGTAATAAGGGCTATTTTCTCACTCTGGTCCTGTGAGGGTGCCCCTCCCAGAGGAATCTTTATGGTTTGCTGCATGTAGGAAGAGACAGGTGAGCTAACTCTTTCTGAAACTACAATTTCTCCAAAGTTTCCAACTGAAAATAGCCAACATACCAATCTGGCATATTTGGGGATGGAACATCCTTTACTCCTTCACAGGTATCTGTGGATGAGAGCTGAAGCAGGCCCACCAGGAACAGAGAGTGTTTCCCCTTACTGTTGGCAATTCTCTGGATTGCATCTACCCATCCTGTCCTAGAAAGTGTCAGGAGAACCTGATGTTGTCTCAGGGAATCCTCTTAGATGTGGAGAGATAAGCCTTTCTAGGCTGCTTTCGACTGCTGGTTGTGGGTCTCGAAATGGTGAGTCTGGGTCACTTGCTTCTATTAAGTGAAAAGATGTAAGTCACTCAACTTCTGCTCCAGACCCAGTAAACCAAAACTCCGTCGTCTTCTTCTGACTACCTTCAGAGTTATCTTGGGTTTATTCCTGCATTATTACCAGCATTTGTTGCTGTTTTAGTGGGAAGAGGAAGGGAAAAATGGGTCGAAGTTATCTTACCCTTACCAGAAGTTCCTAAATAGACTTTTTCATGAGAAAGAATATTTTTAAAAAACTGTTTATATTATAAATATTCTTGGTAGTTTTTTTGCTGTTACATATTTTTTAAAAATCCATAGTGCAGATATAATAAAAACTATTGCAGGTATTTAAATTAACAGAACTAGTTGAATTCCTACAACGTGTCATGTACAGTGCTAGGTTGGTTGATCTGTCTGTGCTTCTGCTTTACTTGGAATGGATGAGCAAAGGCTTATACTAATTTGCACTTAGTATTATAATGAGGTGTGAGAAACCAATTTTCATATTCAAGTGTCTATAAAAAGTGACTATTTTTCAACAGTTAGCTCCTTTAATTATAAAATCAGTTTTTATTAAAGGCAGTTGATGCTTTGTGTGTTGTTGCTAGGGTGACATATATTATAGAAACATACAGTTTATCTTTCCAGTAAGAGGGAATACAGTCTCTATCTTACCGTTAATACTTTAATTAGAGAATGATCGACAGAAAAATCTTTTTTCTCTTCATGAGATTTGAAAAATGCATATCTTCTTTATCTGCATTTAATCAACCCTGGGTTCATTAGGATTTGTTGTGTTGGCACCTGAGAACATCTTAGAAATTATTAAATAATTCAT
Organism: Homo sapiens; assembly: GCF_000001405.40. NCBI lineage: Eukaryota > Metazoa > Chordata > Mammalia > Primates > Hominidae > Homo > Homo sapiens. The sequence continues at coordinate 32,981,874 of NC_000023.11, read as the reverse complement.
TTTCTGCTTTTTTTCTTTATTTTTTATTTCCAGCAGAGGCTTGTATTAAGGAGATTCTCTTTTGACATACCCCCACATACATTCACACTAATATATATGCACTATTTTCAACTGACATGTTTTAGAGTTATTGAGATATTAATTTTATAGGATACTATCACATTTTATAGCTCTTAGTAAATAGTATGGTATTTCAAAACATAATTTAGTTATAGTAATAGAAATAATCCATCATATTTGTTGTATTTATAAAATGTCTTCAAAAATATCATATAAATGATATCTGAAATTTTGTCCTAGTCTTGCAAATGCTAGGGGATTAATATTAATAAGGTTGTTGTCAATATAAATTTCTAGTGAGATGCTCATTAACTGGAAATCCAGTGCTAGAGAGACATTTCAGAATACCTAAACCTTATTTAGAGACAAATAAACATACTAGTTAATATGGCTATTGCTATGAACCGCATAAAATTGAAATTTGCCCGAACTCATTCAGCTAAGCATGCTAACCTCGGCTTTGGAAAAGATTGAATGGCCTATCATCAGTCAATCTTGGTACTAGAGTTAAAAGAAGAGGCAAGTAATATGGACAGCACAAGGAAAATGACAGAAATAGCGGCTTGTGATGATAATTAGCAAGAAGTTTGAATAAGCAAACTCTAAAGAATATTGAAAATGAGACAAAAACTGTTAATGTATATGCAATTAAATCTTTGGACCCTCCTTGCTTGTTGTTTCAAATATCCAATTGTGGAGAGAACTACGCTAGGGTAATAATATTGCCCGTTTTCCCTGTCCCTCCATGTACTCCAATTAAGAAAGCAGAAATGAACCATCTACCCTGATTTTTGGAGGAGGAATTGAGTAGGTATGGCTTCATGCTCTTTAAATTGGGGTTAAGCCCCCATGATATAAATTATATAGGGAATGCTTCTTCTTCCATTTAATGCTTACTAATGGATGTCACTAGGCAAATTATTAGCAAACATACATAATAAGAAGACTTAATGCTATGTTCGCTGATAACAGCTTTATCATTAGTAAAGGAGATATTTTCATCTCTATTCGTCTGACTCCTATATGTGCGGCTTAATTGATTACGAACCTAGGTGGGGAATAGATTTAATAATTTTCTCAAACTCCATCTATAAGTAATATGAAGACATGATAAATTTTTAAGCAGAAAAATGAAATGAAAAATATTATGATTCGGAAAATTTGTTTCCTTGTACTATGAAGGATACTTGGGAGCAGGTTGGAGAAGAGGGTGAAGGAACCGTTTGGGGGACGCGTCAGTAAAACTGGTGGTAGAGACTAGGCTGAAGGATGATAGTGGGAATGGAAAAGTGAAGACATTTGAAGGGAAGAAGACATTGTGTCGGAGTTCTAACGATGTTCATTTGTGCATAAAACTTGCATTTGTCTATCTTATTGTACTTTATATATTCTTCCTAATACCCTGTACTCCATTTTACTCCTTTTTTTTTTTTTTTTTTTTTTTTTGAGACAGAGTCTGGCTCTGTCGCCCAAGCAGGAGTGGTGCAGTGGCGCGATCTCGGTTCACTGCAACCTCCGCCTCCTGGGTTCAAGCATTCCTCGCGCCTCAGCCTCCCGAGTAGCTGGGATTACAGGCGCCTGCTACTACACCAGCCTAATTTTTCTGTTTTTAGTAGAGACGGAGTTTCACCACGTTGGCCAGGCTGGTCTCAAACTCCTGACCTCAAGTGATCTGCCCGCCTCGGCCTCCCAAAGTGCTGGGATTACAGGCGTGAACCACCTCGCCTGGCCCCTGTACCCCATTTTCAATATGGCAAATGGAATAAATGTTTTTACAACATTTATTTGACTGTTGTTTATAACTCTTCAATAGCTGTCCATTACTGTAAAGTTTATGCCACAACCTATAGGGCTCTACCTTTTAACAGCTATCTCTTTCTGATTTTCCACTTCTCTCCAACCTCCCTCCCTAAATTACGGTGATACTGATTTTCTTTTAAAATACAGGACTACTATCAGCCTCCTTTTTCATCTTTTAGGCCACAACTTAATGTTTCTTCCTCAGAGAAATTTCTAAAGGACCCAAACCCACAATAGCTTCTATATGAGACTACTTCTCCCATTATATATCTTCCAGGTATCCTGTAATCTCCTTTACAACAGCCAGCAGAATTGAAGTACACTATTTGTCAACCAAAGGTGTGAAGCTTCTTCTTACTCCTGGTGTTTGTGGTTTTATTGACTCTTCTTTGTTTTCTTTACCAGTGAGATCCCATCTACATCTTTCAGTATTTTCACCAGTATCTTGGTCTTTTGCTTGCTTGCTTTCTTGTTTTCTAGGTTGATTATAATTTTATTCCTCTAAACACATGAATACCTTCCGTCATTCCAATGGAATTTTGGACAAAAGGGAAAAAGTTATAAGTGCCAATTTGGTTGCCATGAACCAAAACAGAAAATTAAATACAATTGCCTAGATAATCAGGCCCAATTTGTATTACCTAGTATGAAAAACACTTTGGTAACAACAGTAGGTCATGTTAAACTAATTAATTTCTAGGAACATTGATAAATTAAACATTGGTTACTCTCCAGAGTAACTCTAAGCCCAGAAAATAAGTGACTTGTACATCCATCATCTGATTCAGGTTCAAAGAGAGTTTCTTTATTTTGGCAAAGCCAACTTTACTGAAATGAGATGAGAAGATTTCTGTTGCCAATTTATAATGGAGATTAAAAATAAGACCCCATTGTCAGAGTTGGAGATCATATGTTGGTAATTGTGGTTTTGTACAAAATTAAGAATTGATCCCTAAGAACTTGTAAATTATAAAGACTTTGTTTAGCTCAGTCACATTTGCCTAATCTAAGATTTCTGTCTAGGAGAAATAATTTTCTAGATGGAGTCAACTAGTACACCTAGTTTAAGTCTTCTTTATGTGAGATTGTGTTTAAAACAGTGACTCTTTTGGCCATAGTTACAATGAGTTCTTCAAGGGTTGTGTATTTGCAGACTATCAGTGGAAAGCACTTGAATGGCAATAGTTGGAAATTTTGAAGCAAAGGAAATAAAATTGTTACTTGAAACCTTGTAAAAAGATCATACGGCCGGGCGCAGTGTCTCATGCCTGTAATCCCAGCACTTTGGGAGGCCCAGACAGGTGGATCATTTGAGGTCAGGAGTTGGAGACCAACCTGGCCAACATGGTGAAACCCGTCTCTACTAAAAATATAAAAATTAGTTCAGTGTAATGGCGCACGCCTGTAATCCCAGCTACTCAGGAGGCTGAGGTGGGGGAATCACTTGAGCCTGGGAGGCGGAGGTTGCATCGAGCCGAGATTGCACCACTGCACTCCAATCTGGGTGAGAGAGTGAGACCCTGTCTCAAAAAAAAAGATAAATTTTTAAAAATCCATGCAAAGAGCTTGCTATTTTGCTATTTTAGGGAGGGAGCATGAGCTTCATACTCACTTGGAATTTCCTGAGATAAAGGCAGAAATAGAATTGGAAAATATTTAATATAAATCTGAAAAGATAAGGCATTTCTCTTAGAAGAAGTTTCTAAGCAAGGCAGCTATATAGCAAAGGGTGAGGTATATATCCCTGGCTGCCTCTTAGCACAGGGAACTGGCACCACGGGGCCTACACTGGCCCAAGAGTTCTTCAAAGATAATTGTGTTCCCACAACTTTTCTCTGTGTAGTAAACTCTTCCTGCCCTGTAGCAGTCCGCCCAGTTCATGAAAACCATGGGATTTGACCCACTGAAGAAGACTTTTCTCTTAAAGTTTTTCCTGTTTATCCAGGTTTTACCCAGTAAAGGTCAGCTATAACTGGTAATAGTTTTGTCAATGTTTCCATACCTTGGGACAAAGTTCCTTATTTGCTCGGTATTTCCTCTCAAGTTTTACTTGGCATTTTGAAATTTGAAAAAAATTCTATGTTTTTCCTGGCTGTGAAAATGTATTTTTTCTTTAGTATTTGATATTCAATTTATAAAATAAGACTTAAAGCAGCTAGATATTTGCCCATCGTTATGTTTAGTGGAATGAAGAACTAATCAGCTACTACTAGTCTTGTTCCAATTAACATTCTATTCCTCCATTTCCTTCCCACACTGATATATGTACATATATAGATATCAGTGTGATATATATATATATCACACATACATATGCTCATATATACATATATATCTTATATAAGTCTTTGACCTTTCTAAGGGTCAAACACCATGTTTTTCACAATCTAGGCAAGCTGCTACAAGGAAGGAAGAGTCTATTATACACAGAAAAGCTGCAGGAGCACAATTATCTTTGACAATACACCTTATATTGGTATTTTATTTTTTTTCTGAAATTACTCTGGGTTGAGTCTTATATTTAGTTTCTAATTGTGAAGGAAAGCCCTGTAATGACCTGGTGATCCATCTTCTTTAGAACCAAGTCGGCCACAGTCCTAAAATAAACATCTGAAGGCATAGGAACATTTACAGATGAAAATCATAATTTAATCAATTGGGTGTATTATCTTATTTTCTAAATATGTATACATTATTTCTTTTTTTCTTTTTTGTGAGATGGAGTCTTGCTCTGTCACTCAGGCTGGAGTGCAGTGGCATGATCTCGGCTCAATGCAACCTCCGCCTCCTGGGTTCAAGCGATTCTCCTGTCTCAACCTCCTGAGCAGCTGGGACTATAGGGGTGTGCCACCATGCCCGGTTAATTTTTGTATTTTTATTGTAACAGTGGAGATGGGGTTTTGCCACGTTGGCCAGGCTGGTCTCAAACTCCTGACCTCAAGCGATCCGCCCCACCTTGGACTCCCAATGTGTTGGGATTACAGGTGTGAGCCACCACGCCAGGCTACCGTGTTTCTTTTAAAAACTTTTTTTCTTCTATGTACCGTATAGGTTTTAACCCTGTAAGACTGAACACCCTCTTTTGTAAGACATATTTTGTAATACTCCCATTACTATCCTCAAAGAGAATTTACCAAAAATGTAACTTACATATATATATAAAATTCTAAAACAATTACCTTGTAAAAAATAAATCAAAGGACAATAATGAATTAAAAATAATGGATATATTTATCATCAATAATTAATTATTCAATATGAAAATAAGAAAGGTACATACTGCTCTAGATAAATGTAGTACCTGTACCTAAAACCACAGAAGTAGACAGCTCGAAATGCTGACGTATGCAGGTGAGTGGTATGAATGATTAAAATGCCATGAACAGCATATTTTAAAGTAATGGGATTTTTCTGTATGATTAATAACATTTGGTAAAGTTCTGAATAAAATAAGTGCACATTTTCCCTTTGATTTATTGTGGGATAGTTTCATTCTTGGAAAATGCAGTGCATATAAAGACTTTGTATTTATATGTAAAATTGAGCTAGGTTCTATATATTCACATACTTATAAACAGGCTGTCCCCTACTTTTCAAAAGCTGAATAGGACATGAAACAATTACTCATTTTCCTGGACTTTCCTGCGTGTTACTGGATGTCTGGCGTCCTTAGAGCACCTTTCCATCCGTTATGGGGACAATCACAGTGCTTTCACGTTTCTTAAATGTACCCAGGGTATGGTGGTGTGCCCAGTTGAGAGGAACTGCAAGTGAGGGTTGTATTTTTTTTTTTTTGAGACGAGTCTCGTTCTATTACCAAAGCTGGAGTGCAGAGGCGCGATCTCAATTCACTGCAACCTCCGCCTCCCAGCTTCAAGCGATTCTCCTGCCTCAGCCTCCCGAGTAGCTGGGATTACAGGCTTGCGCCACCACACCCAGCTAATTTTTGTATTTTTAGTAGAGATGGGGTTTCACCATGTTGGCCAGACTGGTCACAAACTTCTGACCTCAAATGATCCACCTACCTCGGCCTCCCAAAGTGCTAGGATTACAAGCATGAGCCACCGTGCCAGGCCAGGGATTGCATTTTTGCATCGAAGTAGCAGAAACTAGAACCAGAGGATTTTAACTTTCTCATATGATGGAATCTGAAGGAATGGAGTCTAAAGCAAGAAACTGGCCCTGTGATGGCATGAAAATCCCAGGCCCCTTTGATCTTCTTGCTCTTTTACACCTTACTATCATTCTCATGCTTGTCAACTCTTGGTTGCAAGATGATGGTTTCAACATCTCCAGCCTCAAGTCTTACATTTCAGAGCAGAAAGATGAAAAAGGAAGCAAGAAGAAGGAAGAGGCAGCATGTACATCAGGAAAACAAAACTATCCCAGAAATCCCTAGCTGTCGTCCTCTCAGATGCCAAAAGGCCATGACTGGGTGCCAGAGATGCTTGAAATAGAGCTCTTTGTTCTTGCTTGACACCTTGCTACTTCTAAACAAAATCACGATTTTGTTGTTGAGAGAAAAAGGACTCCTCCCTATCTACTTGTCCTGAGACTGCTTCAGCCTCTCAGCTTCCTAGACCCTCATGCAGTTGATTTCCAATTCTTCCAGGAGCTGGCTTACTGTCTACTTTTTCAGGGTTTCAAAAAAAAAAAAAAAAAAAAAAAGCATTTTTTAAAGTTTAAAAAGCAAAATGTGGAGTGAATATTTTTTGGTTACTATGCTTTTTAAATTTTTAGAATTTGTTTTTACTGTGGGTTGGCTGTTAATAGTCCATCAAGACAACTATTTCTTTGCTGGGTTTATTGGATATTGGGCAAGCAAACAAGCAAATAGCAGTATCTGCCACTGGATGTAATCAGGAAGAAATTTTCAGAAAAAAAAAATGATGCTTCAAGGTCTAGATAAGCAGATTTTCCACTGGTTCCTGATTATTCTAAATAAAATGTTTAGTCAGTGGTTGTGTAAGTTTCAAGGATGTTATAGATGGCTCTTGAAAACAATAACACATTAACCTAATATTTTCAGTACTCCTTTTTCTAGCTTCATTTATCCTCTCCCATGCCTGTAAACATGTTACTTTGTTAACCAAATAAAGTCATTAATACATGAGACCATTTTGCCAAAAGTAAACTTAAAATTAGGAGGAATTGGTCTTTCAGAAGGCAAGAAGAGACCAAGATGAAAGGAAGTCATTTTTGTGAACCATATGTTTTGACCCAGAAGAACTATTTCACAGCCTTTCTCCTGGTAGCAAACAATGAGGGAAACAGTTTCTTACCATCTGCACAATAAAACTTGTTGAATCACTCGGGAATTGGGATTATTGCTACTGTTTGTTTGTTGTTAAGCCTTAAATTTAAAAAAAGACAGGATATATAAGCAGGGTTGGTTCTAATACTGAAATAAAACAAAAATGAACAAACCCAGAGAAATCTGCTTCCAAAAAGCCACAGCACAACAAAAAGAGGTGTAAACATCAGAAGACCTCAAGGGAAAAATACGTTTATTTAGAAATGGGATATCCTGGGGATTTTGTTACAGCAGCTTTATTAAGATATTATTCACATACTGTAAAATTCACTCTCTAGAAGTGTACAATTCAGTGTTTTTTCAGTATGTTCACAGAGCTATGCAACTATCATCACTATCTAGTTGCAGAATACTTTCATCATCCCCAAAAGAAACTGTATGCCCATTAGCAGTCACTCCCCATTCCTCTCTCCCTCTAGCCTCTGGCAACCGCTACTCTGTGTTGTGTCTCTATAGATCTGCCTATTTTGGACATTTCATATAAATGGAATCATACTATATGTGGCCTCTAGTGTCTGTAATCTTTCATTTTGCATAATGTTTTTAAGGTCCATTCATATTGTAGAATGTATCAGTCTTTCATTCCTTTTATTTGCTAAATAAAATTTCATTGTATGGATATACCAAATTTTGTTTGTCCATTTATCACCAGTTTACGGGTATTCGTAAGGCTTTTTTTTCCCACTTTTTGCTTCCAGTAGACTTTTTGTATGTCACAAATGGCCATATGTTTCTTTATCCCATAATCAGAATAAAAATTATCATTCTTTTAGTGGACGTGCCTTTTTTTAATCAAGGCACAGAAATAAAAAAGTGAGTTGTATTTTCTCATTAAGAAAACATTTTGGGGTGTGCATGTTTTCAGTTGTTTGGAAATATGTAGACATATTGGCAGGGTATCCCACTTACTTTTGCTGTGTATAAAATCACCCTGATACTTAGCAGTTTAAAACAATTACTTTATTATGCCGTGGATGCTGTGAGTAATAAATTCAGATAGGACACAGCAGGGATGTTCTGTTTATGCTCTGCAATATCTATAGCCTCATCTGTCAAGACTTGAAAGCTAAGTTGGACTCAATGGCTGGAGGGTGGAATTCTGAAGGCCTACATGTGAACTTGCTATGTTGTTTGGCTTCTTCCTAGCATGGTGGCTTTACGATACTCACACATTTTCTATGGTAACTCAGGGTTCCAAGCAAACGCTGTTCTAGCAAACAAGGTAGTAGTCATATGGTCTTTTATGACCCTGCCATGGAGGGCACAAAACATTACTCTTGCCATCCTCTATCTGTTGAAGTAGTTACAAACTCACCCAGATTGAAGAGGAAAGGACATAGACCCTACCTTTCCATTTGCCAATGAGTTTTGGGACCATATTTTAAAACCATTGTGCCATAAAGGGCATGTTTTATGACAGGTGAAGCTTTACGTCTTAAAAGTATATAATTACAAATGATTAAATTTAAAATCACGAGAATAAACCATTGCATTCATCTACCATCTTGCCACTAAATCAGAATCAGTAAAACAAGGTCAAATTGACTAGAAGCCACATATAGTTGACATTTGGAAGAATTTGACAGAAATATGGCTCAATTGGAGTTACTGAATTTAAACCAAAACGTTTGGCACCAAGAATCATGGGAGCCCAGACTAAAGAGGAAACATACATTATATAGCTCTTATTATCTAATGGTGAAAATCCTATCAAATCTCCACAAAGGTGGTGAACTCTGGTCTTCCATGGCATCCTAGACAAACTTTATTTACAGGCATGTATGGTATATAAAATAGGCATAGATAATAAATATAATAATCCAGAACAATGATAAAACAGCTACTATGTCAAGGTACCATCCTAACCTCACTTATAATCAGGCATTAAATTCTCATAAGAATCCTATGAATTAGACACCATTATTATCCATATTTAACATATGGAAAGAAACTAAAGTACGGAGATGCTAATGAACTTACCCATCGTCCCACTAATAAATGTTAAAGTCAGGATTTGAACCTAGATGCTCAGGCTCCAAAGCCTATGCTCAAAACTCTTGCTATGTGAATACTGGCATATTACTGAATAAAATAGCCCCAGTTTTGTTTTTAAATAAAAAATGTTGATCAATTTTTTTCAATAAAATATTGTTTCATCACAATAAGACCTACTTATTTTCCTCCTGAGCAGTTTTTAGTGACATCAATAACAATTTTTTTAGGCTGGGCACAGTGGCTCATGCCTGTAATCCCAGCACTTTAGGAGGCCAAGGTGGGCAGATCACTTGAGCTCAGGAGTTTGAGGCAAGCCAGGGTAACATGGCAAAACCTCACCTCTATAAAAAAAATACAAAAATTAACAGAGCGTCGTGGTGCATGCCTGTATTCCCAGCTACTTGGGAGGCTGAGGTAGGAGGATCTCTTGAGCCCGGGAGGTCAAGGCTGCAGTGAGCCATCATTGCACCATCGCACTCCAGCCTGGGCTACAGAGCAAGACCCTATCTTAAAAAAAACCAAAAAAATTATAAGCGAGTCATACAAGTTCTTCACAGCTTTTCATTATGGTAAACCTTGATTAAAAGCCAAGGTTATAAATGTAATTTTTGCTAAGTGCGGATGTATTGTATCTGTAGCAAACTGTAATTCAGGCCCCTGAATGTAACATCCTAGCTCTCATTCCTTTTGCTGTCAGATTTCCCTATAGATAACGTCTACATCTGCTACCTTATCTACTCGCAAATATTTATGATTTTCTTCCATGAAATTTACTTTTCTCCCCTGAACCTGTAAGCCAAATCAAGTGACCTTTTGTGAATCTCAAACCTCTGTGAATTTTAGGTAGATTTAATATTCTTGGCCACCACTTTCTATTCAGTCAAATTCAAGAATTCTATAAAGTTAAATATATATGGATGTGTGCACACATATATATATATGTGTGTGTCTCTAGGTCATGAATCTTTTAATACTATAGAACATAGAACATAGAAAATTATAAGAGAAATTAAAATATATTGTCAATTTAAAAGCATACCGAAAACATGTTATATGAGAATGGAATAATACAAATTATTGGTATGGGGAGAAGAATCATGAATAGTTTCATGAGGAATGTGGCATGTGTAACAGGCATTAAATATGATTAAGAACTAACACTGAGTATATACAAGTTAGCTGTATCAATAAAAATGTAAATCATTCAGCAATAAACTATAAAGTTATTTTTACTCCATAAGGGTTTTTTTCCCTGAAATTTTCGGCCCAAAGTGACTGTTTTTTCTTCACATGCCACTTATATAGTGTGACCAAGTATTTAGTTAAAAAAATTATTCTCCAGTCAAATCATTTGTTGTACACTTCTTGGAGCTGTGGCTTGCTTGTGTTTTTATTGATTAAAAAATACAGCACAATCTTGCACCTAATAAAAACCTAACAAACTGGCTGAGTGCGGTGGCTCACGCTTGTAATCCCAGCACTTTGGGAGGCCAAGGCAAGCGGATGACTGGAAGTCAAGAGTTCAAGACCAGCCTGGCCAACATGGTGAAACCCCATCTCTACTAAAAATACAAAAATTAGCCTGACCTGGTGGCAGGCATCTGTAATCCCAGCTACTCAGGAGGCTGAGGCAGGAGAATCACTTGAACCCGGGAGGCAGAGGTTGCCATGAGCCGAAATTGCGCCACTGCACTCCAGCCTGGGCAACAAGAGTGAACCTCTGTCTCAAAAAGGAAAAAACAACAACAATAACAGAAGAAACCCAGTAAATAATAGGAAAAAAGTGAATATAGAAAAGTAATAGAAAATGGTTGCCTTTGTGAGGTTAGATGTAACCAAAATATTTTAGCAATTGTTTAGAACAAATAGATTAAATGAAAAATATTTCCATTAATATTTTAAACTGTTAAATTCTGTCTAATTTCACATGGTAGATACACATTCATTAAGACTTTTCAGTGTTAAGACTAAATAAAGAAAAAGAAAATTCTTCTTATTGTGCCTTATTCAGAATCCACTGAATTTCGTTATTATTTTTATTATCATTATCATTATCATTATCAGTATTATTTGAGATGGAGTCTCGCTCTGTCACCCAGGCTGGAGTGCAGTGGCGCCATCTTGGCTCACTGCAACCTCCGCCTCCCGGGTTCAAGCGATTCTCCTGCCTCAGCCTCCTGGGGAGCTAGGATTACAGGTGTGCGCCACCATGTCCAGCTAATTTTTGTATTTTTAGTATCTTATTTTTGTGGGTACACAATAGATATATATATTTATGGGGTACATGAGATGTTTTGATACAGACATGCAATGTGAAATAATCACATCATGGAGAATGGGATATACACCCCTCAAGCATTTATCCTTCATGTTACAAGCAATCCAATTACACTCTTTTAGTTATTTTTAAATTTACAATTAAGTTATTATTGACTATACTTACCCTGTTGTGCTATCAAATAGGTCTTATTCTTTAGCAAAGCATATTTGTAAAGAGTTTGGAGTTTCTCTTTGCTTTACACACTGTAAAAAAAAATGTCAAACAAGGTTATCCAAAGAGTAGTAGGAGAATGAGCATTGAGATCATAAGTGTCTCATCTGATCAAAGTTATTCAAGAATGAATGCATTTTGGAGGCAAGAGTTGAGGACCATCGCCATCATTGACTATGGAGTAACACAAGCCCAGACTCTTGAGATTAATTTGGCATTATCTTTCAAAATTAAAAGTATAATTACATATTTACATAGCAATTCTACTTCAAGGAGTTTGCCCTTCATTTATGTTTTCACATGAGTAAGGGTTTAGATGGACATGGGTTTTCTTTGTAGCTAGGTAATAGTAAAATAGGTAATCTAAATGGACATAGCTTGGTGGTAGTCCATGCCTGTGCCCTTTATACTACAGTTTTAAACAAGAGATGAATTTATATAAACAGATGTTGAAATGTGATCGTTATGTAGTATTAATTGCACAAAAGTAGAACATATATATGTGCATATGTATGCATACATACATGTACATACATATGTGCATATGTGTTCTAGTTTATTATATATATGTCAAATTGTTCTATTTGTATGAAAACACTATAAATACATACATAATAAATAAACAAATATGCGTTTGTGCCAAAAAGCACAGAACATTTCTGTTTAGTCTCATACCACTCATTTTATAGCTTTATAGATAGGAAGAAGGTAGACTTTGATGGTACTTGAATTTTTATCTATGTATCTGGGCAAGTATTTTATCTATGTATGTGGTAGCATATTTTATCTATGTATGTGGTACATACATGTTTTATGTATATGTATGTATACATGCATATATGTATGTATAAAATACATACATATTTTATCTATGTATGTGGTAGCACGTGAGAGAATTTTTGTTAATTTATATGTTATTTCACTTCAAAAATTGATAAACTGTGTGTGTGTACATATATGGGTGGTGGCTATATACATATAGATATTATATTTCTGGGTGGTTTATAAAGAGCAGAAATGTGTTGCTCCTAGTTCTAGAGGCTGGTGAGTCCAAAAGTCACCAGCATGTTAGGTGTCTTGTGAGCCCGCTTCCTCAGTGACGTTCATCTTGTTGATGATTCCTCACATGGTGGAGGGGAAAGGGAGCGTTCTAGGTTCTTTTTTTTTTTTTTTTTTTTTTTTTTTTTGAGACAGAATCTCATTCTGTCTCCCAGGCTGGAGGGCAGTGGCACGATCTTGGCTCACTGCAACCTCTGCCTCCGGGTTTCAAGCAATTCTCTGCCTCAGCCTCCCAAGTAGCTGGGATTATAGGCACCCACCACCACGCCTGGCTAATTTTTTGTATTTTTAGTAGAGGTGGGGTTTCACCATTTTGGCCAGGCTGGTCTTGAACTCCTGACCTCGTGATCCACCCACCCTGGCCTCCCAAAGTGCTGGGATTACAGGTGTGAGCCACCGCGCCTGGCCTGTAGGTTCTCTTTTACGAGGCAACTAATTCCAATAATGAGAGCTCCATCCTCGTGACCTAATCACCTCCCAAAAAGCCCCAAACCCATCTCCTAATACTATCACTTTGGGAGTTAGGATTTCAACATATGAATTTTGGGTGGACACAAACATTCATTCAATAACAGTGACTATACTATCCTATGTTAACATTTTACTATTTTCAAAGCTTTTGTTCACTTTGTATATATGCATTTATTTATCTTTGTAGCAAATGAAGGATAAAAATATCTTTTGGAGTATTATCTTGACATACTCTCCAGCTGCTAGGGATGACCTGTCAGTATTGACCCCTTGGGCTGAAGCAATTCGATCCTCTCAAAACTCAAATTGAAGTGAGAACTATCTCTTCTCCTTTATTTCCTTTCACCAGAAATAGCTATTTCATGTTTTAAAACAACTGGAAGGTAACTGAAAACTTTCAGTGGTGTTAAATCACTGTCAGAAAAAAAAAAAAAATCTGTTTGAAAGTTGGAAACAGCTCAAGTAAAGCCATTTAATCTGACCAGCATAAGCAGATTCTGAAGAAAATGGTGAAGAATATCATTAGCAGCAATGCACACAGTCATTTATTCATTCAACAGATGAACATTTGATGAACACTTACTGGTTCTTGGGGACTATACTCCATGCCTAAAATACAAAGATGAACGAAGACCCAATTCTTGCTCTCAAGAAAATGATAGTCTGTTAAGAAGAATTTACTGGAAGATAGATAAGTATAATACTGAAAAGTGTGAAGAATGAAACAATAAGATGTGCAAAGTACAGTGCTGTCACAAAAGAGAGAGAAATAAAAGCTAACTGGACAGGTCAGAAGAGGCTTCACATGGCACTGTCTTGAAGAATGCATAGAAATATTCTACAACCAGCAACTTCCAATTCAGTTGAACTATCTCCATGCTTCCTGTTCAACCGAGATTACATTTTCAATCTTGTTTCTAAAGGAAGGAAAAAAAGATGAGTCATTTGGTACAAAAAAGCAAGAACAGCTATAGTCTACACTATAAGATAAATGTAGGGTACTCTTTAAATCTAGTGGACGCTGTCCGTACCCTTTCAGCGCTCCCATTTTGTCTCATCATCTAATTGCGTGCACCTGAAGACTTTCTCTGATGGGTTTGCCACTGCGGGGAAGGCTAGAAGTGCTGGAATATTGAAGACCCAAGCAGCATTCTTCAGGTTAATAATAGATGAGAATTGGATGATAAAAACTCTAAACTTTTTACACTCAAATAGGATGCATGAGGCATGTCTATTTCATTTGCTAGAAGTCTCCAGTGGCATTAAGTCCCAGTCATCCATAGTCATAACTTGCTCATTAATGTACTCTGTGTGTTCCTTTCTTCTCTATCTCACTTCTCTACTTCCTGTTGATGCTTTCTGTGATCTCCATCACAGATCTTCCTGTTTCTCACTTCCTGTTGATGCTTTCTGTGATCTCCATCATAATCAGCTACATGGACTCAAATTTGTCATTTAAGTCTGATCTTGGGGAATCCAATTTTAGACATTGAGCAATGGACTGGCTGGGAGGGATGAAAGAGGAGACAAAGGGGCTCCTATGTTCCTGGTTCAGGAAACGGATGAATAACATCACCAGTTAGTGAATAGGCACTGCCTTTCAGTACCTACGGGAGTGCTTTGTTCAGTACATATCCTGCCCAGCCAAGCACTGAAGAATTCATGAATTTTATTGTAACCTAAACTGCCTGTGGCATTATGAACCTGTGTAATCATGGGTAGTGTTGGCTTTATACCAGGATTTTGCTAGCTTGTTAGCATCTCCATGTGCATTTGCAAGACCTTGGCCACTCTTCAGTGTTTTCTACTCCAATTTGCATCATTGTCCCTGCAGGATGTTTATCACTCAGACATTCTGAAATTTGGACTGATGCTTGACTTAGCTCTGTGATTGGATGCTTCTCCCAGAACCTTTCTCACCTCTATCAGCTACGCTAATGATAATCTAGACAGAGGTTTCCCTCCACGGGTGCTGCAGCTCAAACTGTGCCCTAGACCACTGTCAGTCAACCTCTTCAATGCCACTGTTTGGTGCTTTGCTTGGTTCTTTCAGTCTGCATGAAGTCGCAGCTACTCAACTTACATCCATGAAGCAGCAAGGGGAAACTTCCCATTCTCAGTGTTTTAATCTGTTCTCTGTTATAAAGGAGGCATAGTAGAGTTGCTGGACCCCAAAGAGTGACTTGTAATAAAATAATTCTTTAAAATGTATACATAGATCTTGTATCCCAGGGCACACATTTGACATGAAAATGGCTGTTTTGGTTGTAAGTGCAGGTAACAGCCATCAAGGTGTACTTGGGACTCCTCCTCCACTCCAAATCTTAGGCCTCATTATTATTTAGTTTATCCTGTCTGTATCTGCAAGATGATTTTTACGTGAGAACACTAGACTTACCCCTTGACACTGTGCTTTTTGCAGCTCCTCATATTTGATGGGCATGAAAGCTAATATGTTGTCTAATTATGGAGAGTTTTAAGTTATTAATTTTATTTTTATCAGGAGATCCTTAACCCCCTATACAAATTAGATCTAAATAGATACTAAAAGATGAAGTTAATATTTAACTCCTTTACCCACCAGATGTAGCTGAATCTTTGCATTGGACAAGTGAGAATCCTACTTACTCTGAATCTTAGATACTTTGCTTTGAGTATGATTCAATGTCACTGTTGCTACAGAAGTATAAATGATGGTTATTTATGCTTGCATGTTTTCCAGAAAGTTAAAGACTATTTTATTATATTGGCTTTCTGATTACTTGACTGAAGTTCATAAACTAACAAATAAAAATCTAAAAACACTCTCTGGGGACCTAGACAAACTATAATGATTAAAGCATATAGTTACTTTGAAGCCAAGATGAGGTAAAGGGGATAACTTAAGACATATTTATTCTTAGGCTGACATATCTTGTCATTATTATGTTACAGGTGCACATGGACCATTTATTTTTTCTCTTATGAAGAATTTCAAACATATACAAAATAAAAAAGTAACATAATGCATACCATACACTGCTCATTAGCTCTAACCATTATTATCATTACCATCTGGTTTCCTCTCTACCTACCCACTTCCTATTCTCTGTTTTGAGGCAAATCCCCGAAAGTATATCACTTCTACTCTAAACATTTCAGACTGTATTCCCAAGTAACCCCCCCACCCCACTTCTTTTTTTTTTTTTTTTGAGACAGAGTCTCGCTCTGTCACCCAGGCTGGAGTGCAGTGGCACGATCTTGGCTCACTGCAACCTCCGCCTCCCAGGTTCAAATGATTCTCCTGCCTCAGCCTCCCGAGTAGCTGCTACTACAGGCATGCGCCACCACACCCGGATAATTTTTTTGTATTTTTAGTACAGATGGGATTTCACCATGTTGGTCAGGCTGGTCTTGAACTCCTGACCTCAAATGATCCGCCCACCTTGGCCCCTCAAAGTGCTGAGATTACAGGCGTGAGCCACCGCACCCAGCCCCGGAAAATATTTGCTTAATATCATCAAATACATTTTATATTTCCCAAATTATCCTATAGGACTCCTCTCTTCTCTCTGTTGTCTCTGTTTCCTCCACACCCTACATCCTCCTCCTCCCTCATCCTCGTTCTCACTCTCCCTTTTCATTTTTGAAGAAACAGGACCTTTTGTCTAGGTTTGTTGATTACATCCACATGATATTGTTTAATGTGTTTCACCAGCTCCTGTGGTGCTGACAAATTAGCAGCTAAGTCTAGAGAGCTACTTGTAGTCAGTTTGATTTTGTTCTTTTTTTACTCAAGATGATTGTATAGAAAGTGTTGTGTACTTTCAACAAAAGGTATATAACGTTTGATATTGGCAGCCATTGATGATCATTGTTTTGATTGATTATTTCATTATGAGTTGCAAAACAATGATATACTGTTTTTACTTCTTCATTTGTTAGGAGGAGCAGTTCTATAAAGAGAACTTTTTGTTTTGTTTTGATTTTTTGTTTTTGAGACAGAGTCTTGCTCTGTCACCCAGGCTGGAGTGCAGTGGCATAATCTCGGCTCACTGCAACCTCTGCCTCCCAGGTTCAAGCAATTCTCCTGCCTCAGCCTCCCTAGTAGCTGGGATTACAGGCGCACGCCACCACGCCCGGCTAATTTTTGTATTTTTAGTAGAGATGGGATTCTGCCATGTTGGCCAGGCTGGTCTCAAACTCCTGACCTCAGGTGATCCACCCACCTTTGCTTTCCAAAGTGCTGGGATTACAGGTGTGAGTCACTGAGCCCGGCTTATAAAGAGAACTCTGCATTTCTATTTGGTTGCCTCATAGTATAATTGATACAAAGCAAAGCAGAGTAAATGCTTCAGTTTTTCCCCCAAAAGAACAATTTTCAAAATAATGAATTGCTTCTCTAGTCTCTTCCAAAAGTTGCCAGTGAATTTTTTTTTTTTTTTTTTTTGAGATGGAGTCTTGCTCTGTCACCAGGCTGGAGTGCAGCAGCGTGATCTTGGCTCACTTGCAACCTCCACCTCTCAGGTTCAAGGGATTCTCCTGCCTCATCCTCCCGAATAGCTGGGACTACAGACGCGCACCACCACGCCCAGCTAATTTTTGTATTTTTAGTAGAGACGGGGTTTCACCATGATGTTGGCCAGGACGGTCTCGATCTCTTGACCTCGTGATCTGCCCACCTCAGCCTCCCAAAGTGCTGGGATTACAGGCGTGAGCCACCGCACCCGACCACCAGTGAATATTTTATTTATTTATTATCATCCAGTTGTTTGTTTTGGCATCACTGCGAATGCATGAATTTAAATATATTTAAATGTAACTGAGGCTCTCCACCTTCTGTATTATGATCTTTATTGTCCTCATATTTTTCATCTTTATGCGATGGAAGCCTCCTTTACATTGACCTCCTGAGTCCTTTCTGTATGACCTTTATACACTTTGGTTGACCCCAACTTCTCTTGTAGATCACCAGTGGGCATTCCTGAGGTGTGGGTATAACATTTATCTCTGGATTATTTATTCATTCAGAAACTTTACTTAGTAATTAACATTTACTAGGCGTTAACAAGGAAGCAGTAAAGCAGCAAACATGCTCATTTCAATATTTGGATTAATACAATCAATCAAAACAGTAGTTATTGACAACTTACTTATTGTGTGGTTAGCACACTCAAAATTTATGCAGAGAAAAAAGATGAGAGATTAGACCTCCTCCTTACTGTAACACATTTTCAATCTGACCAGAGATTTTGCTTCTGCAAATTTGGATGCCTAGCATTGGCATCATCAAGACTTTCATAGCTATGGAACCATCAGATATAAAATACACCTTAGTATGCAACCTCAACGTGTTCTTCCTCTTGCAATTGAGGTTATATTAATTTATTAAGTTCATTTTGGGATAAAGAAGACAGAATCATAGTTCTTTCAGCCTGTTATTATAACACTTTATTATCCTTTACCTCCTTCCAATTTTTGTGTCTAATAATTCGTGTGCATGTGAACTGTCTTCACTTTTGAGTTTTATTATGAAACTCAAACTACAATACACATGTATGCATAAATTTCTGTATATGTGGCATGCGTGTATATGTGTGTATGTATGTGAATATATAAATTTCGTTGAATAGAGTGGTATGATTGTCTTTGGCCTCCTTAATTATATATATTAGCATATGTTCTAGGGCTCCTGACGCTTCTTGCAGGCAGAAGGCATTTCCAGAGGTTGTGTAGATCCATGAAGGACAGTTATCGGGTCACATCTCACATCATCACTGTTTCTTTCTTGCCCCTGTCTTACACTAGTACCCTTCAGGGTATTGTATGAAAGCTTCATTGGTTCAAATTCATTTTGTCCTCTAGTGCTACTTTCTATGCTGACAAAAGCATAGTGAAACTGATGCCCTGGCTTGTACTGCAGTAATATTGCCTCCAAGCATATCAAGTACAGGAAGTTAAATCCTATATATTATTAAGCCAGATCAGTAACATGTACCCAACAATGTGGTGAGACATATTTTGTTTTAATAAAACGATGATGTTACAAATTCTTCAACCTTCCCATATGTGTGGAGGTGTGTGTGAATGTCTGTATTAATCTACCCCATGTCTCCTGGATAGAGTTTTTCTACAAAGAACCAAGCTCAGCTTCCCCTAGTGTTAAGACATTTTGCTTCATGCTTGGTATAGTGTAGTGCTACTCAAACCTGAGTAATAAACAGGCCAGTTTAAAGAAATAAAAAGCCCTATGCTCAACCAATGCTGATTAAAATTATTTTTATTAAAATTTACCTATAGAAGCACGAATATAAAACAAAGGGCACACTCTTTATGGTGAAAGGGCATATAGATCTACAACAACAAATCATATTTTCAAATCAAATAAAACAGAAGTACAGAAAAGCAATAGAACTCAAAAGCATAACCTTAATGTGTCTGCCAATGTTGTCTTGGATACATTAAATGGCCTTTTATAATGTGAATATAGTACTAGCTGCAATGGTGCAAGTTATTGTATTTTTAGCATTTTTCAATATATGTTGTGAAGACTATTTTACTGCTTTTCTCTATTCAGATCTTTGCAAAAAAACTCATGTATACACTATAATCATGTTTTTTGCCATTTTGTAGTCCTATGCTTTTGTGTCATCAGCCTTCCCCAGCTAGAAAAGTATAATATTCTATTATTGTATGCTGTTGTCATTTTCCCACAATCAAAAGTACAAATTATTAAGGAAACTGAAGTTTCGGTCTAAAATGTGTTGTTCAGATGAAATTATCCATAAGAAATTAAAGTTGTGTTCTTATAACTGGAAAAAGAACTTAACGCAAGTATAATATGTGCAAAACTGGGATGACTTAGTTCTTGCTATCATTAAGAGGGGACAAATGGCAACGAGACGAGCTTTAACAGCTGAGAAAATCTTATGCCTAGATGTACATAGGCCTGGAAATTACATAGCAGTAAAACTGTACCTTCAAATAGCTCAAAAGCAGCTCATAATAACTGCTTGAGATTATCTCAGTGATAAAGTCAGTATAACATAGTGTTTTTTATTTTAAAAAGGAAAAATGATTACTTTCTTTACAGTATGCTAATTAAAATATACAGGTGATTGAAAAAACTATTAATAAAAATCAGTAATTTTGTTGAGTGGGATTATGAATATTAATTATTTAATTAAAATTTCCTTCAATAGTTAACAAAGATTTATTGAGTTTCTGAGTCAAGCATTCTTCTAAAGGCTCTGCCTTATTAGAATTTTTAAATGTATTTGCAATGAGTGTATATTAAATGTAAAATGTATGATTCAGGTTTAAAAAAAAATAGCAGTGAGAGTAATTGAATGCTGAGGTTAAATAGAATGGGTGAATCAACCATACCA
Source organism: Homo sapiens (assembly GCF_000001405.40). Taxonomy (NCBI): domain Eukaryota; kingdom Metazoa; phylum Chordata; class Mammalia; order Primates; family Hominidae; genus Homo; species Homo sapiens. Next base: position 32,961,317 of record NC_000023.11, on the reverse strand, counting down.
TAAAAAACTTCTAAGTGGATATTATATTCCAGGCACTCTTTCCTACTTCAGCTGTTGATAAAATCAAATATTTCCTTAGAGACCCTTGACTAATGCAGGAAATAAATGAATACTTGCCTATATAGACAAAATAATAACAACAAAAGCCAGAAACCAAGCCATACCAAAACGAAACAAAAACAGAAAAACTGTGATGACATAACTTATCTTTCAATAGGATTTTCTCAGAATGGGAGGCAATATATATTTTATGCTTCCATGGTCTGTAGATTCCAACATTTGTATAATTAACATATACAATTTTACAAGGGAAAAATACTATTCAACAAATACGTAAATACGTTCAATGTAATCATGCAGTACTTCGTTTAAATTGACCTTTTTTTTTTTTTTTTTTTTTTACAAATGGTGCAATAAAATAATCATGTTTACCTTCTTCACATGTTCATTGATGTTGGCGTGCACGGTTTTATCTATATGATGTGACCTTTTGAGACCACATGACATTCACAAACTGAAACTAAACCAACTAAATAACCAGTTATCCAAAGATAAGCAAAAGTGGACGTCAGTTTAATTAGTAAGGGGAGATTTTAATCAGTAATACACTATTATAATAGAGAAGAGTTCAGCATGAACTGAACTGAACTTTGATTTGTGTAGAGGTGACTGGGAGTTTTAAAGGGAGAATGAGAGAATGAGTTTGAGTGGTGGCTCATTAAAGTCAGGGAAGTAACAAATTACAAAAAGTGGAAAGGTGGGATTGTTCCCTGGGAAACCTCTACGTTTGCTAAATGGCACTTAAGGTTAGGCTCCTGCCTTCTCACTGTCTTCGGGTTTTGACTGGAACAAAGGGTAAATTATTTTGGCAGCTTTGAGTTTTCTCAGAAATGCACCTTAAGTGGGGCTAGAGTTATCCTAGAGAGGTGGCTTTGACCTGTTAGAAGCTATGTTAGTGTTTTTTGTTCAGGTCTGTGCAGGCCAAGGTTATGGCCTAGCTGAGAAGAGGGCTCAGAGGAGCCTAGCTAAAGTTTGGTCAAGGGGAGCGTCTTGGTGGAGCCTCACTCCTGTTCAAGTAAAGAAGACACATTATTCATCCTTCTGAACAGTGTAAGTCCATTTGTCATTCGATTGCCTTTTGTTTACTAAGGACTAGCTAAATCATCGGTTGAGACTTGCTAGTAGAGCATAGTTGCTGGATGATGCACGTGATCAGGCATTTAATGAGAGGCACCTCTATGGAAACAAACATAAAAACAAAAACTTGTTGGAGAAGAATATAAATCCTATTTGTTGAGTCTAGAGGGCAGGCAGTTAAGAAGTTTTCTAGACATTGAATTCTAAGCATCTTCAGATGGTAGAGTGGTAATCTGATGGATTTTCTGGTTTATGGTTTGAATGTGGTGATGGCATAAACATTAATTTCACAGTCATAGTTATTTCCTGGAACAGAACACGGATGATGCTGGAGTTCCAGTGGACTTTCTGAATGGCTCTTGTAGCAGGAGCTCCAGGCATGAAGGTTGCCTATACGTGATTTGTTGTGGTGGTAAGTCTTTTGAAGTTTATATCAAGTTCTTGGGCTTCAGTGTGCAAGGCTTTTTCAAATCCTGGGGGAGAAAGACAGCTACAAGACAACCTTGTAGGTTGTCCCAGTAGAATCAGTAGGTTGTAGGAGTCCCAGTAAGGATTTGGGCAGTCAGATTTTAATTCTCAGTGATGTCAAGTCAAGAGGGAAGGCAAAAAATTATAAACATCAATTTGGAGAGATGTAGCCCGATATTGAAGGAAAACTAAACAATTGAGTATTTAGTAAGAGTGGCAAAATGGGTGAGATGGCAGAATTCAGTTTAGTTTACAGGTAAATGATAAAATCCTCAAGACAATGAACAAAATTGGAATCTGATAACCCACAGTGGTGTGTTTTACATAAAACACAACAAAACCGGAATTGGATGAGAAGAGTCCCTGGATCTAGGGTCATCAGAATGTAGCTATTAAGAGTTGGATTCTGAAGCCAAATTCAAATTAGGTGCCTTGTACTTTGCGCACTGAATGCTCTCAGGCAAATTATTTACCTTCTTTGTGCCTCAGTCTATTCATTTACAAAAGGAATCTTAAGAGTATATATCTCATAGGATTGTTTTGAAAATTAATGAGTACGTTACATTCAACTGTGTCTGCCACATTGCTGTGAAGTTATTACCTTCCTAATATACTTACAAACTTCATAATTAAGAAAAAATAAAAATTCATAAAATGAACATATTTGTAATAACTTATTATAAATATTGTATAGTTCATTAAATGTATTACCTTTAGACATATTAAAAATAACACACCCCTCATCCCCCCCCAAAAAATTCCTGTATGCCTGTTTTAAAGCAGTTCTGCATGTTAAAGCTGCATTTATGATATCTAAGAAGTGTTTTTTCTCCTAAATAGCAGGTTGGTAATAATGTATATTGCAATCGTAATAATGTAAGTTCTGGTTACAATAGTTTATCTGGGTAACATGTAGAAGTTAAGTGAATGAGGTAATAAATTAACCAATAAGATTACCTTTCTGGTAGGGAGGAAAAACACTTCTGGGTTGAATTAATATTTTGTACACATATGAAAGGAAGAAGAAAAATAAGAAATACCATTTGCAAAGCTGACTTTAATAAATTTTAATTGAATGGATAAACATTTTAGTTAAAGGTAGTAATCTTAACTTGAGATTACTTGAGATAAAAATATATATTTTCTTAAGAGACATGATTGTTAGATAACTTAGAGATATAATAAGTGGAAGGGTTTTCCATTAAGGTAACTGATAGTCCTTAGGTAAATTAAATAATGGGAGGAACTTGTGTTAGGAAATCAACATCCGAGTTACAGTTAAATTGGTGGGAGTCTTTCCAGTGCCTGAAGATACAGAGATTTTCAATAGAAATAAGGTTTTTCTGAGAAATTAAGTGAAATAAAATGTGCAATAGTGATTGATAAGCACTGTTTATTGAAGAAACGATTTATCTTTATTCTTGCCCTTTGCTTTTTAAAACTTTTATTGCATTTTCTTCTATTTTTAATACACTTTGTTATTGAAGCATAACATAACCATATACCATAAACACAGATAGCTACCACTCAGATCACCACTTGGATCAAGAATTAGGAACGAACATATTTGATTTTAACTGCAGTCTCTTCTCTCTTACGCTGAAAATCTATGTTTCTAATGACATTAGTATAATTGCTTATATGGTAATTACCTTACTATATACATATAATGGTTCCAAAATAACAGTTCTTGAATTATTTTTATAAAACAAAATTAACACAAAGATTTATAGTGATTTCTGCATTTATTTTATTATTATATGTTTACAGACATTGGCTAATGCTTCTGATGATCAGGCTTCTCTCGATTAACTGAAGATAGCCTTACTCTGCAGCTGTGTATTTCTTATTCCATCTGGAGCCTATGCCATCAGACATTATGTCTGCCATATTTTTTCTTCTGTGGAAAATCAGTTTTCTTTCTGAAGTGCTTATTTTTACCTTTGGCTGCTGATGTAGATCTTTCATTTGTTCTTCATCTTAGGCTGTGCCCTGGCTCTAAAAAGTGTTCTCACTGTCTCTTTGCTTTCATTTTTTTCCTTTCCTATCCCTACGCCCTTAAATCACAATATCTGTCAGAGTTCCAGAAGAAAGAATAAATACTCAAAGGAGTCATGACTATTATAATAGTTGATAGTGTTTACTTTGGCCTAGTTGTTTCTAGATTTGTCTCAAGAAGCAAACAAACCAAGGATTATATATATACCATCTTGACCACAAACCAAGCCTCAGATTCCTCTATACATATGTCTTAAGTTACCAATACATGTTAACTGTTATAATATTTCTTTGACTATATGTATACACCATGTAGATGTAGACTATGTATACTTTGCATCCTGCTGTTTATCACATGCCTGGCACATATTAGGCACTGAAATAGTTGCTTAATACATCAAAATAAAATTGAATAGGGAAAATATAATTTCTTAAGTTAGCATTCCCCTCTCTCCACCCAAAAGTATTAAATAAAAAAACAAGAGTTTACGATGACTTTAACATTATGATAGAGATACAAGAAAAACAAATAAGTATAGTAATTGAAATGGTGCCCAGAACACCCTCTTTGTTGACACTAAAAGTAAGTTCATCAGACCAAATCTGTACTGTTCAGCTCTGGGGAACATAATTTAAATGAGACACTGAAAAACTGGAGCCTGTCTAGAAAGCAACTTATAATTTTAGGGACGTATTAGCTGTTTTCAAATATTCAGCTAATCAGTGGAAATGCAATGAAGCATATTCTTATTATGATGAGAAGAAAGGAAAGAGAGCCCTTTGTCCACTAAATATTTAAACAAACAAACTTTGTAACAGTGAGAGATGGCCAAAAATATAAAAAGCTTAATCTGGAAGTAGTGAGTTGTTTTTCACTGGGGTGTGGGCAGGGGCTTCATGTCTATTTAAGGAATGCTGTGTTCCCATGGAAAACCAGCACAAGACAAGGATGCCCTCTCTTACCATTCCTATTTAACATAGTATTAGAAGTCCTGACCAGGGAAATCAGGCAAGAGAAAGAAATAAAGCGCCTCCAACTAGGAAGAGAGGAAGTCAAACTATCTCTGTTTGCAGACAACATGATGCTATATCTAGAAAACCCCATGGTCTCAGCCCAAAAGCTTCTTGTGCTGATAAACAACTTCAGCAAAGTCTCAGGATACAAAACCAATGTGCCAAAATCACTAGCATTCCTATACACCAACAACAGAGAGAAATCTGTTCCATTGCATCTGTTGCATGCAGTGCAACAGGGAGAAATCAGTAATGCAATCACATTCACAACTGCCATAGAAAGAATAAAATACCTAGGAATACAGCTAACTAGAGGGGTGAAAGATCTCTACGTGGAGAACTACCAAACACTCCTCAAAGAAATCAGAGATGACAGAAACAAATGGAAAAACATTCCATGTTCATGGATAGGAAGAATCAATATCATTAAAATGGCCACACTGCTCAACGCAATTTATTAGATTCAATGCTATTCCTATTAAACTACCATTGAGATTCTTCAGAGAACTAGAAGAAACTATTTTAAAGTTCATATGGAACCAATAAAAGAGCCCAAGTAGCCAAGGCAATCCTAAGCAATTTATTAGAGTCAATGCTATTCCTATTAAACTACCATTGAGATTCTTCAGAGAACTAGAAGAAACTATTTCAAAGTTCACATGGAACCAAAAAAAAGAGCCCAAGTAGCCAAGGCAATACTAAGCAAAAAGAGAAAAGCTGGATGCATCACATTACCTGACTTCAAACTATACTACAGGGCTACAGTGGCCAAAACAGCATGATACTGGTACAAGAACAGACACATGGATCAATGGAACAAAACAGAGAACCAAGAAATAAGACTGCACACCTAGCAACCATCTGATCTTCAACAAAGCTGACAAAAACAAGCAATGGGGAAAGGACTACCTATTCAATAAGTGGTGCTGGGATAACTGGCTAGCCACATGCAGAAGATAGAAACTGGACCCCTTCCTTACACCATGTACAAAGATTAACTCAAGATAGATTAAAGACTTAAATATAAAACCTCAAACTATAAAAACCCTGGAAGACAACCCGGGCAATACCATTTAGGACATAGGAACAGACAAAGGTTTCATGACAAAGATGCCAAAAGCAATTGCAACAAAAGCAAAAATTGAAAAATGGCATCTAATTAAACTAAATAGTTTCTGCACAGCAAAGGAAACTATCAACAGAGTGAGCAGACAAACTACAGAATGGAAGAAAATGTTTGCAAACTATGCATCCGACAAAGGTCTAAAATCCAGCATTTATAAGGAACTTAAACAAATCTATGAGAAAAAAAAACCCTACTAAAAAAGTGGGCAAAGGGCATGAACAGACACTTCTCAAAAGAAGACATACATGCGGCCAACAAGCATATGAAAAAAGCTCAACATCACTAATCATTAGAGAAATGCAAATCAAAACCACAATGAAATACCATCTCACACCAGTCAGGACGGCTATTAATAAAAAGTCAAAAAATAGTAGATGCTAGCACGGTTGTGGGGAAAAAGGAGCACGTATACATTGTTGGTGGGACTGTACATTAGTTCAACCATTGTGGAAGACAGTGTGGCAATTCCTCAAAGACCTACAGACAGAAATACCATCAACCCAGCAATATCATTACTGCATTTATACCCAAAGGAATATAAATCGTTCTATTACAAAGGCACATGCACACGTATGTTCATTGCAGCACTATTCACAATAGCAAAGACGTGGAATCAACCTAAATGCCCACCAATGATAGACTGGATAAAGCAAATGTGGTACATATACACCATGGTATACTGCGTAGCCATAAGAAAGAATGAGACCATGTACTTTGCAGGAACATGGATGGAGTTGGAGGCCATTATCCTTAGCAAACTAATACAGTAACAGAAAATCAAATACTGTGTCTTCTCACTTGCAGGTGGGAGCTAAATGATGAAAACACATGGACACTTAGAGGGGAATAACATACATTGGGACCTGTTGGAGGGTGGAGGGTGGGAGGAGGGAGAGGATTAAAAAAAAATAACTGATGGTTAGTAGGCTTATATCTGGATGACAAAATAATCTGTACAACAAATCCCCATGACATAAGTTTACCTATATAACACACATGCACATGTACCCCTGAACTTAAAAGTTAAAAACAAAGAAAAGCTGTGGATAGGTTTGGTGGACAAACTAGGAACTGGAGAATATATGGGAATTTTACAATAGTCTCACTGGAGCCTTAGTGGGTTTTAGTAGTGTTTCAAGGGCCATGTGTAGGGTGAGAAGACAGTGGATGCCCACCACCACCACTACCACCATCAGCATTCCTTTAGCTGAATAGCTCACTCTTCATCTGTTTCATATTGGGCTTCTGGGTCACATTCTATTTAAAGAAAGAGTTTCCACTCGACTCTGAGGTCCTTGAATCCAAAGTATCTCTCATAGGTCCTTGGAGCAATCGTATTGGAATTTTTAAAATGTTGATTGAATGGCTTGAGGTGAAAGGAACCTGTTGCACAGAACTAGTTCTCTGTTATGAGTCCACAAAGGTCTTAAATTCGATAAACATTGTTTTTACTAGTAAGTGTCTTAGTATCTTAAAATTATAGTAAGCTTGATTCTTTTCTATCATGTTGGCACAGTTCAGTTAGCAAATAATAAAATGAAACAATGATGATATGTAGGTAGACATATTAACATGCCTTTGTATGGAGCAAACAATAAGAAGCAGATGGGACAGTCTGAGGAACGCATTAACAAGAGTTTCTGAAGCCAACTGCTGCTGCACCTGTTAACCTGGAAGGAGATTAATGCAGTAGAACAGCTACTGTCTTTCCATATTTCTTACCACAAAAAGATGTTTTATTACATTCATTGTAACCTCTTGGTAACACATTCAGAATACAAGCTTCTTCCTAGTTTCCGCACATGTCTTTCTCATGATAGCATACTGTCTTTGAAAATTCCATCTGCTTTGATGATTTGGGCTATTCTATCAAGGCAATATAAAATTGTTTTTCTTAAACTTTATTACAGGTCATTGAGTTTCATGATCTATAGTGAATATTTCTGTATTGATTTGTTGGTATTTTTATTTTCTCTTCTCAAGCTCCTTGTAAGTGGGGACTAGCAATGTATTTTTTAATTTTCCGAACTATTTAAAATCTTTGATGCCAATGATTCAACTTAAATTCTGGTTATATACACCAATGATAATATTTTGTATCTAGCCGATATTTAATATTTATCATTTTTTTAAAGAATCATTCACTTTCATCACTATCATAGAGATGGGACAAAAAATATAAAGACTATTTTACGTATGTATGACTTGCTTGGTAATTATTTGCTGAATGAATGAAAAATACAAAAATTGATAGTTTTGCTCTTACCCATCTTGTATATCTCTTCCAGTGCTCATTTTGCATTATGTATTAGTTCATCTTTGCCTTTATTAAGAGTAGAAAACGCCATTTCATCTTTTACATATAAAAATGAGTCTGGTCTGATACAGTTACTCACATCTTCGCTTAAATTTCTTTTCTTCTTCTTTTTTTTTTTTTTTTTTGGTGGAGTCTTGCTCTGTCACCCAGGCTGGAGTGCAGTGACGCGATCTCTGCTCACTACAACCTCCATCTCCTGGGTTCAAGTGATTCTCCTGCCTCAGCCTCCCGAGTAGCTGGGATTACAGGCATGCACCAAGCCACCCAACTATTTTTTGTATTTTTAGTAGAGACGGGGCTTCACCATGTTGGCCAGGCTGGTCTTGAACTCCTGACCTCAAGTGATCTGCCCGTCTTGGCCTTCCAAAATGCTGTGATTACAGGTGTGAGCCACCGCACCCAGCCCAGTGAAATTTCAATTTGAATTTGGAAGCTCTACTAAGGTAGTAATGTGAACTTTCAATATTATTAGAAAGCTCATCAATCTGAAATTTAACATAAGGTAAAGAAATAAAAAGCATTAAGACCTTACTTCATATGAGAGCTAGAATCCATGACCTGAAAAATAAAGTAGATAAATTCACTTATAAAACTATAATTTAAACTCTTAACTTGTAAATTTGGGGAAATTAGTGGTGAATGGGTTTCTAATATATGGAACATGAAGCAGTAGGAAATATGTTATGAGTTGTGACAGATATTCCACCTCCCACGAGACTGTGATTTTTAGAATCGACGTGTTATAAAATTGATCTGAACTTTGTCCCTGATGCTGGAAAAGTGGCAACCTGTGACTGCTCTAAAGTAAGCTAAAGGAGCTGAACAAGGCTGGGCACAGTGGCTCAGGCCTGTAATCCCAGCACTTTGGGAAGCAGAGGCGGGCGGATCATGAGGTCAGGAGTTCAAGACCAGCCTGACCAACGCGGTGAAATCCCATCTGTACTAAAAATACAAAAATTAGCCGGGTGCAGTGGTACATGCTTGTAATCCCAGCTACTCGGGGAGCTGAGGCGGGAGAATCGCTTGAACCCAGGAGGCAGAGGTTGCAGTGAACCGCGATTGTGCCACTGCACTCCAGCCTGGGCGACAGAGTGAGACTGAGTCTCAAAAAAAAAAAACAAACAAAAAAAGAAGCTGAACAAATGCTGGCATTCATACATGGTTTGAGAAATAGCCCTTTTTCATTTAAGGGAAAGACTTACTGAGATCCAGATTGAGAAAACACCCCATCAACAATAAAGTGGCTCAGGAAAATGTTTTATACTAGCACATCTTCAAGTTTCTACTTAAGGCTATTCTACATGAATATTTAAAAAGAGGAGATGTCAAATATAAAAGCACAAGAGGCCCCGAGGGCTTAGTATCTTTATTTGCGTTAAGGTTTCTCATAAATAATTCTATTTGGGGATATAGGCTCTGGTATATATGTAATAAATGTGAGTCTTTTTAATATCAGAGTTACCCTTAGGATAGTAAGTGTATTTATTTCAAAGAAATATAAAAATAAAATGAATAAAATATTTCAGGTACCTCAGATCATTGCAAATTAGTCCTCAAGTCTCTTTCAGTTTTTCTTGGATTATATGAATAATGCTTTGGGATAGAGGAAACTCACCAAAGTATATTTCTGAGGACTGGGGGTGGGAAAGGTTTCAGAAAGGAGAAACCCATGGGAAGAATTTTTCTACTGACTGTCAAGTAATTCATCTCAACAGAAGAAAAGCTGATTTTCGATCAGTTTAAGGTAATAGAATATGTCAGAATTCCTGGGGTTTTCTTTGTTCAATAGCCCACTTAACCTGCTGCAGAACACCCTAGGAATAACAAATGAATCATAAGGTAGAGGGACATTCCAGCACACTTGTTTTCTTCAAATATTGATATTTTCCCCTTAAAATTATATGTCTAGAAAAGCTTTTGCTCGGACAGAGTCTGTAGGGCCAGAAATATAAATAACTGTCAAATATAAAGCTGAATCGCCTCCACAAGATTTTAGGAACTTCTGGGCTGGGGAAATGTGGCCTGAAGGAAGGCTGCTGGTTTGGCCACTCTCTGTATTCCATCAGAAAAAATGGTGGGGTATAATCAGAAGTTGAAATGCTCACAGTAGTTTTACCCCATGGCTTGTCAGCTGAATATTGCGACAATATAGGAATTCTTCATCGCAGAAGGAATGAGCCTCCCTGGACTGATGATTTTCTCAGTTTATGGTGTGTGTGACGTTTTTGTAAAGTGGCAAATAGTTGGGGGCATGAGCTAGAAGGTAACTTTAGGAGGTTCAACCAACCAAGTACCACCTGCGAATTGGACAAAATTCAATGGACAAAAGAAAACTTAATTGTCAGCTTACTCCCGCCTTTTACTCCCGGGACCTAGCTTATAGCACATGGTTCATAAAAGACTCTATAAATGATTACTGAATGAATGAATAAGTGAAAGTGCACAAATGAATGTATCTCTGAGATTTTAAGACACTTTTGTGTTCATGCGTCTTGCCTACCTGTCTCCGGTCCTTCTGAATTCATAAAAAGAAGAAAGTTCATTTTTTCTGGAATGACTGATCTTAGGAAATAGGAATAAGTAATTCTGATGGGTAGAAAGTGCAGTGTATGAAGATTCAGAAGGGTAAGGCCAATTAATTTAAACACTCTGAGTCTATGTTCTAACCTGTAAAGAAGGCTGATAATATTTGCCTTCTCTGCTATGGTGTTCCCGAATTGTGCTTTCCAAGAAATATACCATCACACAATATATGGCCGTGGTGAATACAGTCTCCAATGTCCTTCTCCCCCTGCAATGTGCCAACAGAGTGATCTCCCTAAGCATACAGGGTGGTGCAGTGTAAAGGCACACTGGTTTCTGTTTGAATTCCAGCTTTGCTACTTACTACCTCCATAATGTGTAGCAAGATACTTCATCACTCACCTGTAAAATGATGATAAAATGATACTTATTTCTATGAGAATTAAATAGCTGATACAAGTAAAGAGCTTAAAACAGTATTTGGCCTGTTTTAAGTGCTCAATAGATCCTAGATGTTGTCATTGCTGTTACTACTGCTGCTGCTGCTACTACTACTACTACTACATATTTGTTTTTGGACCCTACTTAATCCCATAGGTTGCCACAACTACTGTCTACATAATGAAATCTAACCCCCAAGTATAGGATACTGGTTTCTAAAAATCTAGTTCATGGCTATAGTTCTAGCTTCATTCACCACCGTTCTACTAGCAATACCAGTCCATCTGTATTTCCTCCAATAGACCACTCTATTTTTTTTTTTTTTTTTGCCTCTGCACCTTTACACTGGATGTTTATTTTGCCTTTAGTCACATATCCACAAAGAGATGTTCTGGGCTCCATATGATGGAGTTGCATACAGTGCTGAGCTTTTCTTTCAGGGACATATTCAGAAAGGATGAGTTTTTGATTGTTGTCAAATTTGCTGTTATGCTGATTTTTTTTAGAACTGTTTGGGCGACTAATACAAATTCATCCAAAGCTTGTTAAGAATACATTGTAATCATCAGTATTTTTAAAAAGCGATTCTTCATTCTTTACCATTGTGTTTCCCATCCCAAGGATTTCTTCAGATTAAAATATTAAATGGGACAGGCAACACTTTGAATGTAAAGGAGAAATGGGAAACACTAACACAATGGTGGCATGATAGGGGATGAAACACAGAAAGTTGGAACCAAAGGGGAGCACCATCGTTCATATTTATGTGTAAGGAAAAGAACAGAATGTCCTTGGGTAGTTTACTATTTCTTAATAATTCTCCTCACTTTTAGGCAAGCTTGCCAGTTTTTTTCAGTGGGGATCACAAATGCCTATCTGTCTGTCTGTCTGTCTGTCTGTCTATCTATCTATCTATCTATCTATCTATCTATCTATCTATCTATCTATCTACCTACCTACCTACCTATCTAATCTATCTATCATCTAATATATTATGTGTGCGTGTGTGTGTGTGTGTGTGTGTGTGTGTGTGTGTGTGTGTATGTAACGATTTAATTGAAGCAATGGTAAGACATTACAACTTCAAAAATACTGTTTTACTTCACATACACTTTACCTCTAGGTTTCATAGCAAGACAATAGATGGGTGTAGTTTTAGTATTATTTACTTTTATTTGTTAATTCAAGGCACTATAGAAATACTTAATCTGTTTAAACCCCAAACATCTCTTTAAAATATTTTATGTGACGAGCAAACAGAACATCATGATCTAATAAAAATGAAAATGTTTTTGATGTTAAATGTTGAGGTAAAACTTTTGTTCAGTTATTATAAAATAATGACATTTTGAGAACCTCTTATTTTTAATTTTATCGTCTCTAAAATTGAGACAATCACATCTTGGTATCGATAATTTTTGATGCATGATGTAATATTTAAAGGACTTTAAAAATGTAAAATGCTGCATAAATATTATTGCTCTGCTTAACAGTGTTTCAAATACATTTTTGGAAAAATAGCAAAGTAAGAGATAACATGTATCTAAAGTTCTCATCCCTTATCAACTAAATATTATGAAAACCTTAGCTTCTCTTGCTTCTCCAGAATGACAGATTAGCTTCAGCCTACCTTAGACTAGGCATATGGAATTGGCAAACGCTCTCCTTAGCAACTGCAAAGTTCACCGCAGATGCATTTAACAGAAATAGCACAGATACAATTAAGCAGGTAGAAAGAAAGAATGAGCATGTAAAACACCTACAATATTCCAGATTTCCTGCTCACTTAATTGGATGATTCAGATACCTCTCTTTCATAATGTCCAGGTGAAAGAAATGCCGGTTCCTCTTATTTCTCTACATCAAACTAAAGCTCCACTTACCAGAGCAAACACAAGTACAATCTGTTATGTTTTGGACTGTCTAATCCATTCTCTGTAGTTTCACAAGAATCTGGTGAGCTTACATGGCATCCAGAGAACAGGGTGATGAGTAAAGCCCTTAACTCTACATTGTCTAAAGAACCTGATTTATTCAAAGAGGAGGCAGCTCTCTCACTTCTTATTAACAGAGGGTAGAGAGTTTCTTTCCCAAGGCCAAGAGGGGTTTTAGCTATTAATACACTTTCTCTCCCTCCGTCCCTGGTGTGTGTGTGTGTGTGTGTGTGTGTGTGTGTGTGTCTGTTTCTCTCACTGTCAATTTTGAGTGGGGTTTCAAGGTTTAAATAAGGTGACAAGTCTAGTAGAAAAATCTCTGAAAGAGCTATTTGTAGAACATTAACTGACTAGTTGTGTGACTTTGTACAACCAGCTTAAGGATTCAGTTTTATAACAGATAAGTTTAGGGAAATAAATTGCACTGCACATTGCCTTCGGTCTGTTGTACCTCAAATAGCTTAGGAATCTGTTTTCTCCTAAAACATCTTCCTGGAAGCTGGGTTTCCGCTCCACCCCACCTCCCATGTGTTTATGCATTCCTCTGCTCCTCCCCTTAACTGAGAATCCTCATTAGAGGCCTGGGTAAAATGTTTCATTGTTAGAGTTATAATATATCAATAATTTACATTACCTTAATTTTGTAATTTCCCAGGGCATTTTGAAATGTTATGATAACATGAAAAATGTATGACTTTCCTCAATGAAAAGTTAATTAACAATTGCTTTTATTCTTCAATGAACAGCTTTATGGCTAAATTATTACTAGTTTTGTTTTTAATTAGATGACTAAATAATGCAAAATTAGACCATCTTTGTCCTGACACTGAATTAGACCATTCTTTGGCAACTCGTGTACAAACTATTTTCATTTTTAAAAAAATGTATGATTCTGAGAACAAGTAAATGCAATTAGAATTGTCTTTCAGAGGGAAAGTGGCCCCAAATGATGTCAAGAAGCCAGTTTTATGATAAAGATGTCTATTTTTATGAAATAAAAGTAAGGAGAAAAAAAGAATTAATACAACTTCACTTTGAGATTTTATTTTTTTAATTCTTGAGTTAGGCTGAAGGCCAGATTTGTAATTGCTCGTGTATGTGCTTTCTAAAACTTGCTTAAGGAAAACTGGATGGATTTTCTAAAAGGCAATTAAAGATTTGCAGTTGAAAAATCATCCTCCCTCATAAGTATTGGTGTATACAGTGGTTTCCCTGCATGGAGGATATGCTGGACAATATATTGAGAACTGCAGCTCCAGGCAAAATTAAACTAGTGTTTTTTAGAGATACTAGGATTAGCTTGTTTACTAATTTGTTAAAGCAGCTGCGTTTACGAAATACATAAGCCTTAAGTTTTAATCTTAGAAACACCCTTTCCCAAATATTCTAACAAGCTCAATGGTCCTCTGCCTTTGCTGATATTTAGAACATCACGAGAGTCTTTAAAACTTACAGATGCCTAGGTCCCACCTGGGAAGTTTCTAATTTAATTGGTTTAGGTGGCAACCTAGTCACTGGGCTGTTTAAAAGCTCCCCAGGTGACTATAATGCACAGGAAAGGTTGCAAGCCATTGAACTTGTAAACAATATAGCAGCTCCCATACAAAAGCCCGTAAATTCAAAGAAAATCCAGCCATATGAACAAGAAAAAAAATGTCAACGAAGCAGGGACTTCATAAACATATGTTTGCAACAACACATCATTGAATATGATTAATTTGATATATCTGTTTTGTTATAAAATGTCTAGAAAAAAATGTAATGTAACAAAACCAGCAAGCAATTTAAAACAAATAGGAAAAGATGATTAGTAGATCATATGATATAATTTTTAGATAATACAGGAATCGGACATTGAATTTACGTTAGATTTTTATAGACAGATATACAGAAAAACACTCAGAGTAGACAACAGGATGTTAGCAGTGGTGCTGCTTAATGAAAAAATGAGTTATCTGTACTTTTCTTAATAGTTATTGTTGTATCTTTTTATGGTAAACATACATTGTTTTTGTAACAGGAGAGAAAAAGTAGTGTTCTTTCCTTGAACCAAAAAAAAAGTAGGCCATTTAAAAATTAATGAATAAGGAAAATACACATGAAAACTTCTGGAATAAGAACAAAGCTGTAATCAAAGAAAATTAATAGCCTTAATTTTTTTATATTTGAGATTAAAGGGAAAATAAGAGAACTAAACATTTGATTCTGTAAGAAACCTTTAAAAAGCAGTACAAGAAATAACTTCAAAAATACTATATTGAGAAATGCTTTCAAACAACTAAGTATGAATTATCTGTTTACAAAATTCCAAACCATGAAAATAGTATTTAAACCTCTATGTTCATGTTCTAAAGCCCTTATAATCTTGATTATGAGACTTCAAAAAAATAGCATACACATTGAAAACTATCAACCAATCTCAGGAATACAGACGTTCAAATCTTATAAAACATAGCAGATTTAGCCAATAAGAGAAGAAGTTATCATGCCAAATTGGATTTATTTCAGGAAAACATATATGCCTACTATAAGAGAATCTATTTACATCCTTCATTGTAGGTAAAGATCAGAAGGAAAAAATATACAATACTTTTTAGTTATGAAAAAGTATTGATAAATGAAAAGAATCTGTCCCTAATTTAGGAGTAGAAACAAAACTTTTAGCAATGTAAGAATAGATGATAGTTTATAAGCATGAAAAATATTGTCTATCTCAAAACAAGAGCCAACTCTGTGATCAATGTTGAAATATTGAAGGTATCCTCATTAAAATTAGAAATATAACTAGAATGACTACCAAAACTGCTCTTTTTAAATGCTATTTTGCATATTCTAGTCAGTGAAAGAAGCCAAGTAAAAGAAACAGGAAGTATAAGTATTGGGGAAAAAAGTCAAATTATTCATATTAATAGATGATATTGTCAACTTGGTACTAAGTAAATCAACAATGACAACTATTATAACTAATGGGAAAAATTAGTCCCAAAGCTCATTAAGAAAAGAAAAAACCTAGAAATAATTAAATATTAATTAAATGTAATTTTTCTAAATGCTAATTTCTCTTTTAACAACCTATTGAAAATCAAAGCTATCATTTTCCACAGAAGTTCAAAATGTGAAATTACTGTGAATTTATTTAGCATGAAATTTGGTGATATACAAGCCTTTACTGGAAAAATAACAGAATATTTGCATCCATGGACAGATATAATTTTATATTTCTTGGTGGGAATATTAATATTTTAGACATATAATTTACTACAAATTAAGCTAAAATCTGATAGAAACACATAAAATTTAAATTGGGGTGGCAGGAAGACATTGGATGTGACAAGAATTACTCTAAAGTTTATCTGGCAGCAATATAGATGAGGATTAATAGAAAATGTTGAAAACCTTAAATGAAAGGTCATTTGCCCATGTAGCTATTAGAGTGTTTAATAAAACTTCTACTGGCTGGGTGCGGTGTCTCACGCCTGTAATCCCAGCACTTTGCGAGGCCGAGGCGGGTGGATCACCTGAGGTCAGGAGTTCGAGACCAGCCTAACCAACATCGTGAAACCCAGCCTCTACTTAAAAATACAAAAATTAGCCGGGCATGATGGCAGGCGCCTGTAATCCCAGCTACTCGGGAGGCTGCGGCAGGAGAATCGCTTGATCCAGGGAGGCAGAGGTTGCAGTGAGCTGAGATTTCGCCACTGCACTCCAGCCTGGGCAACAGAGCAAGACTCTGTATAAAAAAAAAAAAAAAATCTACTAAAAGTCTATACAAACAGATTAGTGAAACAAAAGAGAAAATCCCAAAATATGCTCAAGTGTATATAATAAAAATGGAATTTCAAATCAGTGGATAGAGATGGACTATGAAAGAAATGGTTTTGATAATCATGTTAAAAGGCAAAACCCTGCTTTACACAATGCAGTGAATTAAATTTCACCTTGAACAAATATTCAATCATAATTAAGCTTAAGAAGCCCAAAGAACAGGAAGAACGATAGGTGAATATTTCTACAATGAGGCGATGGTAGAGAACTATGTAGAAATGATTTTAAAAACCCAAAATTTAAAATGGAAAACACATAGATAATTTTTAAAATCTGTACATTAAAAACCAGTAAACTGAAATTGAATCTTACAAATCAATTCAGAAAAATAAA
The DNA here is from genome assembly GCF_000001405.40 of Homo sapiens. Classification (NCBI taxonomy): domain Eukaryota; kingdom Metazoa; phylum Chordata; class Mammalia; order Primates; family Hominidae; genus Homo; species Homo sapiens. The sequence continues at coordinate 32,944,201 of NC_000023.11, read as the reverse complement.
TGCATTGCCTAATTTTAAGCATACAGGAAGAAAGTGTTAGACCTGGAGGTCATTATTTTAAGTGAAATGAACCAGACACAGAAAGTCAAATATTGCATGTTCACCCATAATTGTGTGCTAAAAAATGTGTACACATGTACACAGAGAGTGGAATGATAGACAATGGAAACTTAGTAGGGTGAGGGGGTTGGAGTGGAGTGGATAATGAGAAATTAATGTGTATGATATATTTGGGTGAGGGACGCTCTAAAAGCCCTAACTTGACCACTACACAATCTATGCATGTAACAAAATTACACATGTACCCCATATATTTGGACAAAAAGAAAATAAAACACATCCAAAGGTATATGAAAAAATGTTCGATCTCATTTGTAACCAAATAATGAAAATAAAAATAACTTTTCCTTGTATACTTTGTATGCTTCTGACAGAAGACTGAATCAATTTATTTCATGAGAGCAGTTTGCAATACCAATCAAGAGAAAGCGTGCTTACACTTGACTAAGCAATTGCATTTCCAGGGAAATTATCGAAGAAATGCTTACATCTATGTGCAAAGACTGAGTTGTACCTATATTTATTGTTTAATTGTTATTACAGTGAAAAATGGAAACAACACCAGTATTCATCAGTAGGAGGCTACTAAAAAATGATATATCTCTAAAGAAGGGAAATTTAAAATAAAATTTTACAGGTGATTGCATTGATATTAAAGGTAATCCAAATACATACATGAAAAAATAAAGCAGACTGTAATACACAGTATGTATACATATAATGCTGTATTATGATCCCGCTTATATATGCATATATATTAAAATATAAATTTTTAACCTCTGGGAAATGCATTCCTACCTAATTTTAAGTCTCTCATTTTTTCTTATTGGAATTTTAAAAAGTGTACAATGCTTATTAATGAATATAAATTTGTTTGAATCAATGTTTTCAATTTTTAATCAAATTATCTGTACATGATTCAAGTAATTTTTACTTCATAAGTTCTTTTATTTAAATATGCTGCATTCCTCTCTCATTTCTCACTCCTCAGAGGCAGATATTTGAGTCATTCTCTTTTTCTAATGCGTGACAAATCTGTAATAACATGTTTATATCTCTAATTCTTGATTTTCTCATTTTTTCATGGTCTACAGTCTCTCTTATGAGAGATGAAAAATTATCTCATTTATATCTACCCCATGTATTTGTTCTATTAACTAATTTTTCTTTTACATGAAGACCTTAAATGTTAATTTTTTTCTTCAAAACAGTGTCAAAAGTATGTCTTAACCCTTCACATGATAAAATGGGGATTTTAGTGGTCCTCCATGTTTCTTCACTTCTCCTACTGAATTTCTTCTCCCAAATTCTGTAAAGTCTACTTTTAATTTTATGTTGAGTTGCATTCCTTCTGTGTTCTCTAACTATGATTAGGTCTCGTGTTTTGTCAAAGATTTATTCTAAAAATTGAAAACATATAAACAGTATGTACACTATTATTATAGCACCATAAATATATTTCATTGCAGAGTCTATTACCGTGTTGGGCTTATATTTCCTTTCCTATGATTTCCATGGCAATTTACCTCTGCTACTTTACAGAAAATTTCAAGATTCAAGTTAAAATGGATTCTCTTTTTTTTTCTTTTTTTGTTTTTTGAGACAGAGTCTCACTCTGTCACCCAGGCTGGAGTGCAGTGGTGCCATCTCGGCTCACTGCAGCCTCTGCCTCCTGGATTGAAGCGATTCTTCTGCCTCAGCCTCCCAACTAGCTGGGATTATAGGCACACACCGCCACACCTGGCTAATTTTTGTATTTTTAGTAGAGATGGGGTTTCACCATGTTGGCCAGGCTGGTCTCAAACTCCTGACCTCAGGTGATCCACCCGCCTCGGCCTCCCAAATTGCTGGGATTACAGGCATGAGCCACTGCTCCAGCCAAAATGGATTATCTTTTCTTACACTCAGTAATCTCTCAAATTCAAATAACGACATAGGAAATTCCTAAGTCTATTGAGTCTTTATCTACCAAATCTCCCTCTCTTTCACTTTCTCTGTCTCTCTTATGTACACGTAGACACGCACACACTCCCTTCTCAAAAGGTAAGAGAATAGGATGGTTTGTAAAGGGGAAACGTCTCTGGAAACACCCACACTTTAATAATGTCTTAACTAATCACATTGCTTGGGTGTTTTTGTTATTTTGTAGTTTGCGGTTTTGTTTGTTTTATTTTCTGATAACCTGCAGAGTAGGAAAGAAGAGAGTCCAGAAACTTGTTGTAAAGCTGGACTTCAAGTTGGAAGAAATATTGGAAGGACCTTTTAAAAAGAGAGTTGTATGATATCGAAGCAGCCTATTTCCCTGACCCCTTCCCGGGACTCGTGACAGGGTTGCCTCATTTACCTAGACCAGTTTTCAACTCCTTATGGGAGGGAGCATGCAAGTGAATTCCAGGGGTTTGGGGTACGAATGATCCTGTCACCCAGGTACTGAGTATAGTACCCAATAGTCAGTTTTTCAACCCTTATCCCCCTCCCTCCTTCCCCTTCTAGTAATCCCTAGTGTCTATCGTTTTCACCTTTATGTCCATGAGTACCCAATATATAGCTCCCACTTACAAGTGAGAACATGTGGTATTTGGCGTTCCGTTGCTGCATGAATTCGCCTAGGATAATGGCCTCCATCACAGCTGCATCTGTGTTGCTACGAAGGACATGATTTCATTCTGTTTTATGGCTGCATAGTATTCCATGGGGTATATTTAGATTTTCTTTATCCAGTCCACCAATGATGTGTATCTAGGTTAATTCCATGTCTTTGCTATTGTGAATAGTGCTGTGATGAACACGTGAATGCATGTGTCTTTATGTTAAAACAATTTTATTTATTTTGGATATATATTCAGTAATGGGATTGCTGGATTGAATGGTAGTTCTGTCTTAAATTCTTTGGGAAATCTCCAAACTGCCTTCCACAGTGGCTGAACTAATTTACATTCCCACCAACAGTGTATAAGCATTCCCTTTTCTCTGCGGCTTCACCAGCATTTGTTGTTTTTTGAGTTTTTAATAATGGCCTTTCTGACTGGTGTGCGATGGTATCTCATTGTGGTTTTGATTTGCATTTCTCTGACAATTAATGTTATTCAGCATTTTTTCATATGCTTGTAGGCTACTTGTATGTCTTCTTTTGAGAGGTGTCTGTTCATGCCCTTTGCCTGTTTTTTGATGGCGTTGTATTTTGCTTGTTCAGTTTTTTAAGTTCCTTGTAAATTCTAGATATTGAACCTTTGTGTGATATGTAGTTTGTAATGATTTTCTCCCGTTCCGTAGGTTGTCTGTTACTCTGTTGATAGTTTCTTTTGCTGTGCAGAAGCTTTTTAGTTTAATTAGGTCTCGCTTGTCAATTTTTTGGTTTTGCTCCAATTGCTTTTGAGGATTTAGTCATAAATGCTTTCCTAACCCCAATGTCCAGAATGATGTTTCTTAGGTTTTCTTCTACAATTCTTCTAGTTTGAGGTCTTACATTTAAATCTTTAATCATCTTGGGTTAATTTTTATACATGTCGAAAATTAGGGATCCAGTTTCATTCTTCCACATATGGCTAGCCAGTCCATTTATTGAACAGGGAGTCCTTTCCCATTGCTTATTTTTGTCAACTTTGTTGAAAATCATATGGCTGCAGGTGTGTGGCTTTATTTCTGGGTTCTCTACTTTGTTCCATTGGTTTATGTGTCTGTTTTTGTGCCAGTACCATGCTGTTTTTGTTTTTGTTTTTGCTCTTATTTAAATGTTATAAAAATTGCCTATATTTAAGATGTATAATGGGATGTTTTGATGTGCATATACGCAGTGAACTGATTACTACAGTTAAGCTAATTAACATATCCATCTCTTCACATAGTTATTTTGTGTCTGTGGTAAGAAAACTTACAATTTACTCTCAGCAAATTTCAAGTATACAATACAGTATTACTGACTATAGTCCCTATGCTGTGCATTAGATCTCCAGAACTTATTCATTGTATGTAACTGAAACGTTATACCATGCTGATTCGGTTGCTGTAGCCTTATAGTATAGTTTGAAGTTGGGTAATGTGCTGCCTCTGGCTTTGTTCTTTTTCCTTAGGATTACTTTTGGGCTCCTTTTTGGTTCTATATGAATTTTAGTATAGCTTTTTTCCAGTTCTGTGAAAAATGATGTTAGTGGTTTGATAGGAATAACATTTAATTCGTAGATTGCTTTGGGTAGTATGGCCATTTTAATGATATTGATTCTTCTAATCCATGAGTATGGAAAGTTTTTCTATTTGTTTGTGTCATCTGTGATTTATTTTAGTAGTGTTCTGTAAGTCTTCTCATAGAGATCATTCACCTCTTTTATTTTTTATGGCTATTATAAATGGGATTGCATACTTGATTTGGTGCTTAGCTTGAAAATTACTGGTATGTAGAAATGTTACTGATTTTTGTATATTGATTTTGTTTCCTGAAACTTTACTGAAGTCAGTGCTATTTTTAGATGGATATATGAGAATATTTAACTTATATGGAGAGTCATAGAAATTACACAATTTGTATTTCATACATCATCCACACACATGCTTTCTTTACTTACCAGAATAGTGGAAATGCTGCATAAAATGAACTTAATGGTTTTTATTTCCTTTCTTCATAAATGTACAGTTTATCAAGAAGATGCCCTTTGGCTTACTGACGTGTAAGGAGGGACTAAAAGGAAAGGAAAAAGAATAGGTAGCTCTAACTTTTCCTTTCTGTCTACATCATCATTTTTTATTGCAAGGTGGTTGGCCAATATAAGGAAGGAACACCACTAAGAAAAGATATTATGTGGTTTTTTGGTCATTAGTGTTTCTTAGAATGTCACTCACTTCTTCCTGCATATATATATCTCAAATATATATATACACGTATATACACATATATATACATATATATCTCAAATATATATACATATATATCTCAAATATATATATATACACATATATATTTAGAAGATTATTTGGTGAATACACTATTAGAACAAAAAGAAAGAAGTATTAGCGAAGTGACAGGGTATTTCCCAACTCAGATATATGATACCTGCTAATGGACTGTTCGTGATTATAAATGTAGTATATGCTCATTGTAGACATTATGAAAAACGTAAAATCCCCTATAATTAGACCTCTATTTGTGCTAGGCACATGATGACTTTTCTTGCTCTGCAACAACTATTTTTTTTCTCTTAAAGTTTATAATGTTGTCAGTATTGTCGGATATCCTCAGGGATTCCATCATCTTTTCTTAATTGTGGTTAATTACTTAACCAATTATTACAAATTATTTTCCTATAATTTATTGCTCTTAGTATCAAACAATTAAACACCCTAGGAAATGTCTTATTACTTGATCTATGAACTGGTGAGAATCTATATTCTACATAGGGGCTTGTTTTCTGGTTTTAAATCTAATACAGTCGTTTGGCAAATAAAGACAAAAAATAAATGTTGTCTACCTACTTTTCAATTATCCAAGTAGTTTAAAATAAAAACATCCTTACTGATTTTTTAAACTCTTATATAATTGCCTAATTCTACAGTAACTGGGGTTGGTAGTAACTAAAACCTGTTGTATTCCTAGTGATGCCCAATGAGCCTTGGGAAATGAATAGGTGGGTATAGTCCAGTTGCTAGAAAATACTTGCTTGTTACTGACTTATCTGAGAGGAAATAAACACTTTCATTTATCAGGGACAGAGTATAAAGTGTTCCTCACTGAAGCATTTCTAAAAGCTCTACAGTCCTTTGAATACTGATAAGGACTCTGAAATGCAAGGGAAAATATGCAAGTAATCTGGACTATCACAGGTTATTTTATGAACTGCTCATATTTTTACTCCTTTGATAAGTATTATTTCCCCCAACCCCAAACCCGATAAATTCGATAACCCTTTTCATATATAATATTATCAGCAAGGCATCTTAGAGTTTCCTTTAAAAAATGTAAATTACCAAGAGAACCAGAATGATTTTGGGGCTCATAATGGTAGATCTTAAAGAGAGTGGAAAGATCAGTAGTTTTCGCATTTTGCTACACATTGGTGGAGTGTTTACAAACAGTGATATCTGCGTTCTATTTCCACAGAGTCTGACTTAAGTGGTCTGTAATCCGAGCATCTCAGTTTGAAAAGTTTCCTAGATAATTTTAATGTGTATCCAACGTTGAAAGCCAGAGTAAAATGAAGGAAGTTCTGGGGCCTCAGATAAGCAACTTCACTACTTTTTTCAGGTTCTTTGAATAATTGACATCATCCCCAAATTCAAATCGTTGATAGTCATGATGAGTACCTGTTTTACTCCAGAAATCTATATAATATTGGTTACCTCAGTGCTTGCTCTTAACTTCCATAATCAAAGGAGGAAGAGAGACTCATCGTGTTCAGATACAGGTTGTGTAACGTGTGTCTGTAAAATACTAATGTGATTGACTTCATCCATCCATTCACCTATCCATCCATGCATCCATCCATGTATACCTCGTGTACCTCCATTCGTCTACTCATCCAATGTCTCTGTCTAGGCTCCAGGACTGCTGCCTTAAGGTTGTTTACCAACTCAGTAGGTAGTATGTTATCCTCAGGCTTTGGAAACAGGGGGGTTTAGTTAAAGAGCAAACCAACTCAACATACTAGATTAACTTGAAAGGGAAAAGTTATGCTTAGTGCATAAATTCTTTCCCTCTTGTCCTTTCAAATCCATTTTTCATTCTTTACCACTGTGCTTTGTGTCCTGGGGACTGCCCTTTAGGAATGGCATCAGAGTTCCTTTGCCCTACAGTTTCCAGTTGAGACAGGCTGCAGCAGGAGGAGTACAGTGGATAAGAAAAGGGTGGAGTATTTATTTTCATGTGGCCCCATGGGATTTCCACAGGTTAGCTCTGAACAGCTAACATTAGACCAGAGCTTCTGCTGGACAGTTCTCTCTTGCATTTCTATTGGGTCTGGCTCTCTAGTTCAGGAAACGTCCTTCCTCTTAACCCTTGAGGTCTACAGTTAACTCTCCGTCATCCCTTCTTGAATTTCCTAACACTGAGCATATCTCTGTTGATAACCCCTTTAGCAAACTGGCCTCACATACCCCGAGATTGAGAAATCAATCCTCCAGTTTCTACCGGGACTCTGATTGAGTTAATGTGGGATAATTTGCTTACACTACCCTCTTATAAAGTGACTATGTACATTAGCATATTAACTCCTTTGAGGATTTTCATTTACTTTTGTTATTAAAGCATTACACGTTTTTTGATAATGTGTAGGAGACTCAATCATAGCCAGAAGTGTCTCAGACGCAAGCACCTGTAATGATTCCCTTATATACAGTTTTATCCCACCAGAAATTGGGACTAGGCACAAGTGTTCTAGGTAACATTTCAGGATCCTACTGTCATAAAGATTATTATGGCACAAAAACTATTTGGCTAGAAGTATCCCCAGACTCCTCTGTGCCACATTATCTTCCTTTATCCAGTTATCTGAGGATGTGCTTGCAGTGGCAGACTAGCTTTTGGGGAAATTTTATTTCAAGAAAAAAAGCAGGGAGGAAGAAAAGGGTAAGAAATGAGGAAGGGAAGAGGCCCATGGGCTAGGAGTGGGCTGTCCTGTTTCTGGGAAACTTTGTGAAGGTTTCAGGAGTAGTAGTAACTCATGGTGAATGAAAATGAGAGGGAATTGTTGGCTTTTAAAGTAATAGGATATGCCCCTTTATGATGGGATTAAGAGATACAAGTAAGCTGGGCGCGGTGGCTCACGCCTGTAAATCCCAACACTTTGGGAGGCCGAGGCAGGCAGATCACCTGAGGTCAGGAGTTCGAGACCAGCCTGACCAAAGTGGAAAAAGCCCATCTCTACTAAAAATACAAAATTAGCCAGGCGTGGTGGTGCATGCCTGTAACCCCAGCTACTCCGGAGTCTGAGGCAGGAGAATCTCTTGAACCCAGGAGGCGGAGGTTGTGGTGAGCTGAGATGGCGCCATTGCACTCCAGCCTGGGCAACAAGAGCAAAACTCCGTCTCCAGAAAAAAAAAAAAGAGATACAAGTAAAGTTATGAAATCACCTGTGGTTTCTAGACAGTTTTTTTTGTGTGTGTGAAATATTAAGAACAGAATACATGTGCTAAAACATTTTAAAAGCTTAATAAGGTCTTTTAAATCTTGCCTCTTCCTTTTGCTCGTCTAATATTACCTCCTATGTCCACCCCCACGGATTATTTACATTTAATGCTTTCTAGTGAAATCATTAAAATGAGATTTATGGATTATTCATAATAGGCAGGATGAAAAAGGAAGGTGAGGCGACAGTGATCCTTCCTTAGCTGTTAATGGATAAGGAGTTTCACAGCAAGAGGAAAAAGGCATAACATTAGTATTACCGGTTGTCTAAGGGGGAGAGATAGAATTGTTTTTTTTTCCTTGCATTTTCTGTACTCTACTCTTATTTCCAAATATTCTTTAATGTTTGTGTGACTTTGTGACTTCTATATTCAGCGCAAAAAGGATTAAAGAATTAATTTAGGAAATCAATTTACACTGAGTGTCTCCAGTGCCAGAGAGGGAGGGAAGGACATTCGTAGCTACAGTGTTCATAATAGCAAATAATTGTATTATGGTCATACCATGGAATATTATATAGCAGTATAAATAATTAACTATGATCACATGTAAGAATATGAGAAAATCATAAAAACATAATGTAGAGGTCCACAAACATTTTCTTAAAGGGCCAGATAGTACATATTTCAGGCTTCTAGGTCATATTGCAAATACCTAACTATGTTGTTGTGGCATCAAAGCAGCCATAGTTATTATATGAGTGAATAGGTGTGAGTGAGTCTAATAAAACTTCATTTTTAAAAACTGTCAGGGAGGCCGGGCGCGGTGGCTCACGCCTGTAATCCCAGCACTTTGGGAGGCCGAGATGGGCGGATCATGAGGTCAGCAGATCGAGACCATCCTGGCTAACACGGTGAAACCCCGTCTCTACTAAAAATACAAGAAATTAGCGGGGCGTGGTGGCGGGCGCCTGTAGTCCCAGCTACTCGGGAGGCTGAGGCAGGAGAATGGCGTGAACCCGGGAGGCGGAGCTTGCAGTGAGCCGAGATCGCGCCACTGCGCTCCAGCCTGGGGAAGTGCACTCACTCCAGAGCCGGGGAGCCCATGGGCGGTAGTGTGCTGACCCTTGTATTAGACAACACTCCAGAAAGCTCAAGCATAGGAACACCTAATGAAAATATTGTTTTGGCATACATGCATGTGTGATAAATCGAAAAAACCAACACAAAACAAATGAGCAAACAAAAGAAATCAAAGGCAATGATATGACAATCCCCAGATTCTGGATGGTAGTTAATCCTGGGTAAATGGAGGGAGGGGTACAAAAGAGTGAAGAACTAGTGTAGGAGCACATAGGTTCAGGTGTGAGTTGTTGCTAATATTTCAGTTATTGGGATGGACATATGTTTGTTTTATTATTGAGCTTTGTAATTTACATATCCATTACATATATTCTTTTATGCATCAAATATCACATTACACAAAGGGAAATCATAAAAATTGGGGAAAAATTGGAGGCAAGCATAGATCTTGGGGCCCAGTGTAGCATGCTTTTTTCTATTTTTAAATTTAAAATTGTTTTTAGAGATGCGGTATTTCTCTGTCACCCAGGCTTGAACCCCTAGGTTCAAGCAATCCTCCTGAATAGCTGGGATTACAGGTGGGTGCCACTTCACCTGGCTAACTAAAACAAAATTCTTTTAAAGATATGGTCTCTCTTTGTTGCCCAGGCTGATCTCTAACTCCTGGCCTCAGGTAACCCTCCCACCTCAGCCTCCCAGGGGGATTATAGGCACAAGTCAGTGTGCCTCACTTCCTTCAACATTCTTAAATACATCTTGGAAGCACAGTGTTTATTACCTTGTTTCTAAAAGAGATGCATCTATTGTAATCATATTTATAATGTTCTTATATATGGTTTTCATTAGTTTTACTGAAACTCTCAACCTATTGTTTTTTGATGATGACTACCAATATTCATTGATTCACTGATAATCTTTGTAATGTCCTTAACTCTTAGGGATTAGATGACATTAAATCTTTATCAAGAAGTGGATTTTGTTACTTAAGTATTTTAGTAGCAACAAAATTGGTCACAACGACATTCCACTGAAGCAGAATAGTCAGAAAGCAATCCAAGCCGCAGAAATAAATTAGGTTGAGCAAGACTACACCTAATGGCATTGAGATAAAGACCCTACTCCTGACTCACTGCCCCGTGTTCTAGTGGTGTGCCTGCTCTGCAATTCTCCTTAAGTTGATGTGCATCTATCTCTTTAGGACCAGGGGGTATTTAGTCTGTAATGGCTTTTCCGGCAACGTGTCTCATTTCAGCTGCTTCAGTTGTCGAGATAACACTCTCGTCACTGCCTCTCTGATGGTTTCCCATTCAACAGCAGTCATTTCATCTTGGGACACTTTTCCTCACAGTCAACAGTTTTTCCTTTGTGTAATTAAGTCTCATTTTTTTCTGGATAGATCCATTTGTGCCAGAACTCTTCTGCTGCCTTGAAGCCTGCACCATTCAGTTATTTTTAGTGTTATCTCTTTCCTTTCATTAGCACAGAGCTAAATTGTGCATATTTTGTTCTTTCAGCTTTATACAGATTAAGATCTTCTAGCTCCTTAGTCATTCATTTTAGCTGTTGCATTGAATTTCCTACAGTTCATTTAAATCACCCAGTTCAGTTTAATATGCCCAGAATAAATAAAGCATCATTTTTTTTCACATCTAATCACCTACCCCGACCAATGGCAAGTGTAAGGATTATAAACCTTTGTGACTTTGCCTGTTTACTCCCTTAGTAGGTGAGCTCTGAGCCAAAATATAAATTCATTAAAGTTTTTCTTAATATCTCTAGTCTCTACTTCTGGCTCCCTTCCCTCAGGGTATTATCCCCTTTACAAATATTTTTTTGTGTCTTTAGGTTTCCATTTGTTTTTTAAAAATACATTCTTATCAAAACGGGAAAATATTTTCCCATTTCTTTCATAAACCATGTTTTCTCAATAGTTATCTCTAATCAAATACAAGAAACAGGGAAATAGGTAGTGCCTTACAAAGGAATTTTAGCCATATACGTTTGGATAAGGTGAATTTTCCATATCCTGGAGATGGTTTTGAGTACTCAGGAGGCTACATCTGAAAAAAAATATATAGTTATTCTCTATCTGGGAGTCAACTTAATTCTTTTGATGGAAAAATAGAGGCTGTGAATCCCCAGCTCCAGCTGGCAGAGATCACTTTGCTCAGAAGTTTTGCACGTAAAAAGAAACTTCTTTTCTGGGATCACTGATTTATTTCAGCTGTACCCTGAAACTGGTAGTCAGATACACCCTGTAACCAGCAGATCTGATATTCTCCAGCCTTTTCGGGCTTGTACATCAATCGTTTAAACTACACTATAATGGGGATCATTTGCCAAAGCTCATTGCCATTCTCTTCTAGTCATACCAATTTATAATTACTTTTCTCTCAATATGTACCCACGACTCTCCTTTCTTCACCCTTATGATATTTATTCAAATATTAAATGTTGCCCTTTTTTTCTACCTTTATTCCAAATGCCTTAGAGGTCTGGCGTAAACTATATGGCTATAACCTATTGCATTTTTACCCCATAGATGGAAAATGTATTGGTGAATTGTTTATAAGGTTGGAAGTTCCCCTGAAAATAAAATCCACCCACCCCACTAGGGGAGTACGGAAACTATATATAATATGACACACATCGCTATTACTTTTATTACATATGCTTATTATTTATTGTTCAAATTTTCAAATATGGTCCTGCACACAGGCAATTTTCACAAAAGAGCAGTATCAGTGTTAATCAGTTTGAAACAGGAAAGGATTTGTGACCCCACCTTACAAAATACAATTCCTTATGGTTACAAAATCTCATTCAAATGGATTCTATTGTAGCCATATCAATAAGGAAACTGATCTATCAGCCAAAATCGGAAATAGCCCTGATAAAGTAGACTGAGCTTACATTCATGCACAGATGTTTGCTCATTATTTTTACTTGATAAGGACAGATACGTTTGTGTTTAGCATAATGCGTGTGTGTATATTTGAATAGATTTTCTAGACCCTCATTTTAGTTCTAGTAACAATTGTCTGGTTCTGAATAGGGACTTTCCACTTTACAGAAGCAGGCAAAATTTAATTTGTCATAGCTACCACTGAACCCATTTCCTTTATATACTCAATCTGCTTTGACACAGTAGATATTGGAGTTTCAAACCTTAAAATGAAATACAGCTTTATGATGAAATATAAGTTGATATGAATACTTTCAATATACCTATATTCTATGTTACACTCAGTTAGCTGGCATTTGGTCTTCACTCATGGACATTTTAAAAACTCATACATTCTTTAGTGTTTGATAATGTGACAAATCAACCCCCTATAAAATTAACTTTAAATCAATTGATACGTTAGCATGTGAGTATATGTGTGTGACTATGAATACATACTTATATAAGCACACTTATATGCTTATACGTTTGTTTGAATCTCTCACTGACCTTAGCCATAAAAACACTTTTATTCTGTTGATTTATACCTCAGCCTACATGTGAACAAAAGATTCAGCAAATCAGAATAACACAGTTACTCTATTTTCTAATTTATTTGTAATAAATATGCATTACCTGCATAACGTTTACATCAATATGGGCATACATTACTTATGCAATGTAATGATCTAAATAACGCAACTATCGACAGTAACCACGCACTCTCCCCCTAGCAATTACAGAATACAGTTTCTCTGTTGCACAACATGCCTGACTATCGTAAATTTAGGGTTATCTCCTTATTAGGATTCCATTTACACTCTTAATGAATCATATTTATTTTATAGCAGCTTATTAGTAAAGTTGACTGCCAAGATATAGGCAATACATACAATTTCCTCAAAAACTGGGGCTTTCACTGTTAATTTAACAAACCTATATGAATCCATATAATATATGAATCATATGAATATATATAATATGTAATAAGATAAAATGCATAATTTAACATATATGAAATATATATAGTATTAATTGTTAATATGTATTAATATAGTATAAAATAATATATATAATAAATGTATAATATATAATATATGAATCATATAATAGAAAAATATATGCATAGACTTGAGTTAGGTGTAAAGAATGGAAAAATTAAAAAATAGTGCACTTGATGAGTTCACAACCTAGTATAGTGTGTCATAGAGAATGTAGCATTTTGTGTATGCAATAGTAAATATATATAATGCAAAAGAAATGAATGGTTTTGCTTAGGGTAGGAGGAATGGGGTAATATTTGAGATAAATCTCAAAGCATGTAAAGATTTATCAAATGAAGAATTGGGGTTATGGAGGAGTAGGGGTTGCATTCCAGGAGGGAGGGACCAACATGTACAAAAGCTTAAAGGAATGTAATTTCATAGTATCTGGGAAGGACAATGGGTAGCTATATGTTTCTGAAATCTTGAATGCTTGGGTGAAATACCAAAAATAGGGCTAGAAAAGCAGGTTATGATTAGATTGTGAAGGCATTTAAAAGCGTCTTGATTAGTTGGGAAATAATTTCTACAACGTTTTAGTTGTATAAATAACAAAAGCTTCTTTTAATCCAGATACTTAGTGGAAGTTCCTCTTTCTCTAAGTAGAATACTAGACCTAATAATAATAATAATAATACCGTATCATATATTTTTATTACTTTTTTGGTTTTCTGACTACTTTCAAGTACAGAGATGGTCCCCGACATACAGTAGTTCAACTTAACAATTTTTCGACTTTAGGATGGTGCGAAAGTGATACTCATGCTGTGGAAACCATACTTTGAGGACCTATACAACTATTCTGGTTTTGACTTTCAGTATAGTATTTAATAAATTACATGAAATATTCAACATTTTATTATAAAATAGGCTTTGTGTTTTATGATTTTTTTCCCAACTGTAGGCTAACGTAAGTGTTCTAAGCATGTTTAAGATAGGCTAGGCTAACCTATGATGTACAGTCTGTTAGGTGTATCAAATGCATTTTCAAGTTTCAAAATTTCCAAACTATGATGGGTATATCAGCATGTAACTTCATTGTAAGTTGAAATGCCCATCAAAGATAGACTGGATAAAGAAAATGTGGCACATATACACCATGGAATACTGTGCAGCCATAAAAAATTATGAGTTTATGTCCTTTGCAGGGACATGGATGAAGCTGGAAACCATCATTCTCAGCAAACTAAAACAGGAACAGAAAACCAAATACCACATGTTCTGTCTTATAAGTGGGAGTTGAACAACAAGAACACATGGACACAGGGAAGGGAACATCACACACCTGGGCCTGTCAGGGGGTGGGGGGCAAAGGGAGGGATAGCATTAGGAGAAATACCTAATGTAGATGACGGGTTGATGGGTGCAGCAGTCCACCATAGCACGTGCATACCTATGTAACAAACCTGCACGTTCTGCACATGTATCCCAGAACTTAAAATATAATAATAATATAAAAGAAAAGTATCTGTGCTTGATGGGTTTTGATATCCTCAGTAACTATGGCCAATTAGTTGAACATGGCACAGTATTATCCATTTGCAGTAGAGGAAACAAAGGAGAAACCAGAGGAACAGTGAGAGAGAGAGAGAGAGAGAAAGCTGCTGGTCATGTCCTCTTTCCAGCATGTCACCCTCCATATTCTTCTTCAAATCAAAAAACGTAGAACGGAAGGGAGCTTAGTAGCATTCAGCTCTGCTACACTGCACACCAGCTATACACACAGGCAATCAATATGGTTTGGACACAGCTGATATAATTTGGTGGAGCTCTAATTGAATTTTTCCCCTTCTTAATATAATTACACCTACAGAACGTCTCCAATTAAGTGTCCCCCCATCAGTCTCAAAATTAAATATACCAAATGGAACTCATTATCTACTCCCACATAAACCAGCTCTTCATGACTCTTTCCCCTTTCTATTAAGCACCACTGCTTCCAGGCTCCTATATCTGAAATCCCTGAAGTCGCTTATTTTTGTATTCCTTTCTCCATCCCGAAATCCATTCAGTCACTGAATGCTATTGACTAATGTTTGAAATTATATCTATGCATACCTTCCTTTACGTTATGGGTAAATGTTTTTGGAATGTGTTTAAACAGAACAAGGAATTGGTGAACAAAAGAATAAAGCCATGCATAAACAAATGTTTATTCACCGTTTTCATTATATTTGTTTGTAGTACTGCAACCTAAAGTTTGTAATGTCTGAGAATATCTGATTGTAAGCAATTACCCCAACCCCATGTAAGTTAACAGTGTTATAACTGGTACGTCTCCTTATAGGTGAATTTGTTCAAAGTTGCTTAATTATATTTTAAAAATCTCTTATTTTAGAAAGAACTCTCAATTGCTTTACTCTGAATAAGATAATACTGTTTAGAAGACAAATCATTGCAAGTTTTACATCTGTAAGTAGGTTACCTGATGAAACGGATTGAAAAACTGAAGGCAAATATTGAATGTTAGATTATTCCCAGGTATCTGACTTCATCTTCTTACTTGCTAGGTGTCATTGTTAATGATAATTTAAAAAATCACACATACCTACGTATCCACATATACAAAACAGTAAGCAGTCATGCTATTGAATTCACAAATATACACCAAAAGACAAGGGGAAAAATATAAACAACAGCTTTCTTACTAGCAAGCAGAGTGTGGCGTGAGGTCAAATTTTTATGACGAAGAGCATACATATTCACAAAGTAATTTATCTCAACTTATGTAGCTGGAAATGGAGTTGATGGGTTCTGAAAAAAGCTTCTAGATGACATTAAAAAAAGGGGTTCTTATGACAAAGAAAAAAATTACCTCAAAGTAGCTTTCAAAGAGATCGAATAAAGTCATTTCATGAAATGCGAGACTAAAAAACATGCCAGCATTTCTAATATTTCTAATGTTTTATATGATATAAATATGAAATATAAAAATATTTAATATTTTTATCATAGAAAATTAATGGCATCAATTTCTTATCAAAATCATGCATACAATTGATTATATATATTTGCTAAAGTCCTAAAATTTTGTGTATACATGTTGGCCTAAAATATTTTTGAGGGCTCACAGGCATATTTTCTTTTGGGAAAATGGAAACTGCCTAATACATGAGATGATTTATATACATGCTGCATTTTACAAGCGGTTAGGGAAACACATGTCTATTTTTTTTCTAAATCAAATAATCCGTGTGTGCACCATGCTACCTTGAATATCAGATTATCAGATTTACCATCCCTATTAGGGATATAAATGTTCCAGAAGAACATAAGAGCAAATTTTTAGAAAGATTAATACAGAATCTAAAGATTGAAGGGATAAGATGATTTACATTAAATCTGTTTCCAGGATATCCTAGTTGGGAAATCAACCTAAATACCCGAAAACTTAAATAATCCAAGACAGTATGCATTTGCTTAACAGACTTTTTCTCCATCATTTGTCTGTGTTTAGTAAGATAAAAGAAAGACTTGCGGCCGGGCGTCCGAGGCAGCGGGTCACCTGAGGCCGGGAGTTCAAGACCAGCCTGACCAACATGGAGAAACATCATCTCCACTAAAAGGCGGAGGTTGTGGTGAGCTGAGATCTGGCCATCATACTCCAGCCTGGGCAACAAGAGTGAAATTCCATCAAAAAAAAAAAAAAAAAAAAAAAAGAAAGAAAGAAGGAAACTTGCTACCCCTCAGTAAACAAGTTATATTTCCTTCATAACTTTCTTCCTATAAGGCAATAAACAAATATTTATTAAGAACCTATCATGTGCCAAGTAAATAAGTACTCTGTCAAAACAAGTTAGATTCAGAGTGGGCTGGAATGATTTGGACAGAAGGGAATGTGAGAAAGGCTAGATAAGATGGAAACTTTTCTGCCACAGGCATACCTTCCCAGTAGACGAAGTAGAGATACAAATAATGTAGCGAAGGGTACTATGGAATAAAAAAGTCAATAAATTTATTTATTTAGTGATTACAGCTACGATTTGCTAAGCAATTAATATATGTCAGACATTAAGCCAAGACCTCTGCAGATGATGCCATGTTTAGATCTTATAACAACCTAGTAAATGTGTTAGGATGATCAAATCCATTTTATTTTATTTAAATTAAATAGTTAATTTTAATGGATAGAAAAAATTGTTTATCTTTATTTCATTCAACATGTTGTTTTGAATATATATATATGAATGGCTCAGTCAAGCTAATTAACATATTTATTACCTCACATGCTTATTTTTTTGTAGGAAGAACACTTTTTTTTTTTTTTTTTGGAGATGGAGTCTTGCTCCGTCTCCCAGGCAGGAGTGCAGTGGCTTGATCTCGGTTCACTGCAACTTCTGCCTCACAGGTTCAAGCGATTCTCCTGCCTCAGCCTCCTGAGTAGCTGGGACTACAGCCTCACGCCGCCACATCCTGCTAATTTTTTGTGTGTTTTAGTAGAGACGGGGTTTCACTATGTTGCCCAGGCTGGTCAGGAACTCCTGAGCTCAGGCAATCCGCCCGCTTCCGCCTCCCAAAGTACTGGGATTACAGGCGTGAGCCACTGCACCCAGCCAAGTGAAAAACACTTAAAATCTACTCTCTTAGCAATTTTCAAGAGTATAATACATTGTTATGAACCACCTGTAGAATCAACATGTACAATAGATCTCTCGAACTTATTTCTCCTGTCTAAATGAAATTTTGTATTCTTTGATCAATATCTCTGCAAGCCTCACACCCTCCTCCCAGTCTCTGGTAACCACTATTCTACTCTCTACTTCTATGAGCCCAACTTTTTAGATACCACCTATAATAAGCGAGATCATATGTTATTTGGCTTTCTGTGCCTGGCTTATTGCACTTAGCAAAACTTCCTCCAGGATTATCCATGTTGTCACAAATGGTAGATTTTCTTCTTTCATGTCTGAATTATATTCCATTGTGTGTGTGTGTGACCACATTTTCATTATCCATTCATTTGTTGATGGACATTTAGGTTGAATCCATACCTTGGCTATTGTGAACAATGCTGCAATGAACACGGGAGTGCACATATCTTTTCAATATAATGATTTCATTTCTTTGGGATACATACTCAGTAATGGGATTGCTGGATCCATACTCAATTTAAAGATATAGAAAACAAGCCATAAATATTTATGTCCCCCAATATCCAAAAGTTAATCAATGGCCAAATCAGCTTAATTTGTCTGTTTTGTTTTTACTATCAAACTTAATACATTCACCAATGCTCTTTTTCATAGTTGTAGCCTTTTCTTGAAGATTATAACGTTTAGTAGTTTAGATTGTTATGTAGACATGTGGTGATTAAAGTAACTCCTGCAATTAATTTAACTAATTTTAGTTATCATGTACTACACTTTTACATACTATTTCCCTCAAAAATGTTAAAAAGCCTTTCTTAAAGCCTTTTTAGCAGTGCCTTTTATATTTATTCGTGTTACTGTTTCATCAATTGCTTTAGTTTGGTGACAGTTTCATGTAGTTCATTTACTGGATTCAAGTTACAGTCCAGTTACTTGAGGGGCCCAAAAGTTAAGGACTTCTGAAAGTGCGTGAATTGCTTCTACTCACTGATGCATCCCAAACATTCAGATCTTGTTACCTGAATCAGGGGTTCTATTCTTTAAAGTTCCTTGGAGGATACTATCAGAATGAAAAGACTCAAAATAGAAGTCTTCCGGAATACAATGTTGTGGTTTTAAACTTAAAAGTATTGCCAGTACAACGTTAGTATCTACTGAGGTGGTCACACTCATTCCAGCAGGTCACATACTGAGAACTGCATAGGCTTTGTATGGTAGGCCAAAATAACTTTCAGATTGAGTCCATCAATTATTTTTCTAAAAAAAAAAAAAAAAAAAAAAAAAAAAACCCAGAGTTTTTGAAAAACCTACTTAGTCATTTGGAAAAATACTATGACATTGAAAATCATATTCCTGGAATCCCTAAACATTATTACCAAAACCATCGGCCACAGAGCTGTCTTCTACTTTTTCCCCAACCCCACTAATTCCGAGTGTATCTGTTCTTAATATTCAGGTTATACTTAATATTCCATCTTAATATTTTATTTTAAACACGTTTTATGCTAAAAATTTACACATATATTTATAATGTTCTTTCTTTGGGGATATGAGGATTCTACTGCTGACCTACTGCTGAAGTACTAAAAAATAGTACTTCAGTGTGTACAGTAATAGGGTTGAGCAATTTATTCATGTCCCAGCCAATTTCCAAGTATCCACACACATTTCATTGGCAAAGTATTCATATCCACTCATCAGAGTTTGTAATGTAAACTGTTTCTAAAGAATATTTTCTCACTCTTTCAGAGGAGAAAATCAGTGTATTTTAAAACATAAAGCTAATAAATTCCATCACACAGAAATTAACTTCAATAGGGCTGTGGTTTGAAATATGTTGTAATCCACTGAAGGAACTCAGGTAAAACTAGTAGGTTAGCTAATATTTATTTTTTATTTTTATCTTTAAGGGACAAGATCTCTCTCTGGCACCCAGGCTGAAGTGCAGTGGCATGATCATAGCTCACTCTAACCTTGAATTCCTGGGCTCAGATGATTCTCCCACCTGCACCTCCTGAGTAGCTGGGACAAGTGCACACCACGCCCTGCTAATTTTCTTTTTATTTTTCGTGGAGACAGGGTCTTGCTATGTTTCCCAAGCTGGTCTAGAACTCCTGGCCTCAAGCAATCCTCCCGCCTCAGCCTCCCAAAGTGCTGGGATTACAAGTGTGATCCATCATGCCTGGTCTAGCTAACATTTTTCTTTTTTCTTATTTCATAAAATTGAGACTCACTTTGCATCCATAGACTTATGGAAACATTTTGAATCCAGATGCCGTAGCCATTTTTTTGTTTGTTTTGGTTTGTTTTTCAATATCAATAGAATCTTTTGTAAGCAAAAGAAAGCAAGGACTTCTTTAATAATTTCTGATTTTTATCGTGGCATTTCCTCACTCTCCTCATGCCAGCATAGTCCAAAGTTGCTATTTGCTCAACATTATTCAGGTACTTAAATGTTTAAACTTGATAGTTTTTAATGCATCTATAAATTTAAACATAATTCTGGAAAGCTTCATTTTCTATAATTAAAAGTGATAATCTATCTTATTTTAAATGTATTTCTGTCTTGGGTATCTTTTCCTAATTAAAATTTAAACTCTTATTTTACAATGAGACGTTACCTCATTTATTTTTCATTAAACAAATAAAACCAGACAATCCCTGAAAAACCTATGAAGAATTATCTTTTTAAAAATATAACAAATCCATGTGATGAAAACTATCTTTTTACATCACCACTACACAGAAAGTTTTTCATTTTTTTATGTAATCACTATTAATAAAATCATCCATGTAGGACAATAGGCAATTATCGTTAACACCTATAGCAAAGCATAGATAAAGTTGATTTTTTGTTTTTGTTTTTGTTTTTTTTTTAAGATCTCACTTCTGTTGCCCAGGCTGGAGTGAAGTGGTGCGATCTTGGCTCACTGCAACCTCTGGCTCCCGGGGTTAAGCGATTCTCCCACCTCAGCCTACCGAGTAGCTGGGATTACAGGGGTGTGCCACCACACCCATCTAATTTTTGTATTTTTAGTAGAGATGGGGTTTCGCTATAATGGCCAGGCTGGTCTCGAACTCCTGGCCTCAAGTGATCCCCCTGCCTTGGCCTCCCAAAGTATTGAGATTACAGGTGTGAGCCACTGCGCCCCACCCTGACAAAGATGATTTTACTTTATCTTAACCTCATCCTCATAATGGGGTTTGATAATTACATTTCATATTTTGATCACTTAAAATTATTTTTGTTAGTAGCATTAGTATTTTGTACATGAGGAAAAGGTGCTATGTAACCATCAAAGTACAGTTCTCTTTCTAACGGTAAAAGTGGTTGTGCAAAATGTAGCAGTTAATGTCTATAAATAGGAGACATAGAATTCTATGTTTCTCTCAAGAAGAATTTCTGTTAAAATATAGGAAAAATATATCAATTCATATTTGGTATTTATGTAGATTATGTTATAGTACTCCTATTTTACTTTTGTAATTTAATAAGGGAAAACTTTTTAAAATATTCATTCAGTGAGTAACTTTATTGAGACTCTACAATACAGTGTAAGATTTATATACCAATACTACAACCATTTTACTGACAGAAAAATAAAAATCTAGAACAGTTTCAGAAATGCTGCCTTTTTATGCTGTTCTCCCCAAAGCAGGGGTCCCCAAAGCAGGGGTCCCCAAACCCTGGGCCCCAGACCAATCGGTCCGTGACCTGTTAGAAACCAGGGGGAACAGCAGGAAGTGAGCCCCGGGCAAGCCTGAGCTCTGCCTCCTGTCAGATAAGCAGCAGCATTACATTCTCATAGGAGCGAGAACCCTATTGTGACCTGCGCATGCGAGGGATCTAGGTTGTGTGCTCCTTATGAGAATTTAATGATAAATGTTGTAATGTGCTTGAATCATTCCCAAACCATCTCCCCAGCCCAAGTCTGTGAAAAAATTGTCTTCCACGAAACCAGTCCCTGGTGCTAAAAAGGTTGGGGACCACTTCCCTAAAGCTTAGGGGGTAGGTCTAAATATTTTCTCAAGACTCCTCTAAGTAAACACATAAAAGCATAATTTTAATGAAAGCACTTGTATATTACTGCAAATGTGATACCTGAACTTTTGTTTGCTTGCTTTCTTGTTTGTTAGCTTTTGAGAATACAATTGTTTTTATTACTTAGAGAGTATACATTGAAGGAAATTATAAGAATTTTCATACTTGAAAGGGACAAAAGAATATGCAATAGGAAACAGTAAAAAAAAAAAAAAATCATGTCAGGGCTTTCAAACCTATCTGCAGAATTCCTTTCAAGTTTCAGTCCTTTGGGGGAGCCTTTTAGCTCTCTGCACCCTCTCCTTCTGCTTATGTGTAAGCCTTGGTGATGCATTTACCAAACCCTTCATATCTGTAATCATGAGGTAGCTTTTCTCCTTCATTGTAAATTTAGGGATAGTAGAAACTGCCTTATTTAACATTGTATCTCTTATATAACCTTACATGTACCATACATACATAGAGTCTATGGGATAAATAAACGTTTATACAAATTAAACATGAGATGGATGAAGAGATAAACGGATGGATGGATGAATGGATGGATGGGTGCATGGATAAATAAATAAATGGTTGGATGAATATGCTTATAATTATTTCTATGTAAAATATTTTTAGTGTTAATGACCCCCAAAGTGCTCTTAAAGCTCCAATTACCTAGTTAATTGCACATAGTACAAAATTCATAGAGGTAAACAAAAAAGAACGCATAAAGAAAATTGTTTCTCCTATTATGTTAGCTAGCCTCCTAGTTATCCTCCTTCTCTCTTACTGGGGGTGCTGGCATTGCGGTTTTCTGTGTATTCTTTCAGATATCTGCTGTACATACATGCGCATAGTCATACACATGGCCACGTATATCAGTTCAAATCTGTCAGGAAGGTATGAGAACATCAATTTCCTCATACCATAAAAAACGCAGTATACTACCAAACTTTTGATCTTTGCCAATATGATTGGTGAAAAACTATGAAACTATGTCTTTTAGTTTGCACTTATCTACTCAGGAATGAGGATGAACATATTTTCAAATATTTAAGAGCAATTTTTGTTACTTTTTCTCTGAATTCTGTTCGTTTTCTTTGCAAGTTATAATATTCCTTCCAAAATTGTTTTATAACCAGTTGACAGATGGGAACCAGTCTCTAGGTGGTATCAGAAACAGTGTTATCCAGCATATTCAAACCTACCAACTTATTCGATTTATCACTATAGCTAATTGTTTGAGTAGTTCATACATTTATTTACACTATCAAGAAAAACAGTTTCAACATTCTTGACCATATTTAAAAATGCCTTTTAGGCTACAAAGGTAGATTGAAGAGAGAAGTTCCAAACAGTAATGAAGGCCTCTATTCCATCCCAGGGAATTTGCAAAGGCTCTTTCCTGGACAAACTTGTGCTATTATTTTGCATGATGGAATAATTTTCATCCTTCAAATCTGTTTAATTGCACATCCAAAAAAACACCTTCTTTGACTATGAAATCCAGACTAGTTCTCTCTCCTTCCCTGGACTCTCTATTTTAGGTACTTTCTATCTGAACATCTTGTTTATTTCTTCAATAACACTTATTATATTGGGTGATTATGTTATTTTGTCATTTATTTGCTATTCCCTACAATAGATTGGAAGTTCCATGAGAGTAGTTTCCTTGCATGTCTTGTTTACTGTTTTATCTTCACTGCTTGATCCATAGTGTGGCATGAAGTAAACATTCAACAAATATGTGCGGAAGGAATAAATGAACATACACATCTAATTTCTGGTGTGTTTATCAAAAATTCAATTGTATACTTCTGGTAGACTGAATTTAATTCAATTGAGTTTTTCCCATGTGTGATAAGAAGGATAGGGAAAGGGACAGATGGAGGATGAGAGGGTAGGAGAGAAGAAGAGAGAAAGAGATGGGAGGGAGGAGAATGTAGACTCTCCAAGGAGCCTAGGCTTTTTACTGCATTTATTTATTCACAATTTACTGCAAATGAATTTCACAGACACAGAAACTGCAAGCTTAGACACCATCATTGCTCTGAGACAAATGCATCCAGAGTGTATTTGAAGTTCAGATATAATTGATAGATAAATGTAAAGCTGGGAGAAATTTATTAAAAATGATTGGTAACTCATAACTTTCAAGGAAGTGAATTGTTTAAAAAATGTACATAATACTTGGGTTAGATACTGTGTTTCTTAGTTAAAATATAATAATATATGTATTTCAATAGATCATATATGCCAGGAGACACCTGGGCGTATTGACTATTACATAATAGTGATTATCTTTATCCATCTAGTGTTTGATTGAGGACGGAGGTTGATGTATCAAATTAAATTAATTGAGATCTAAGAATGACATCAATAAACAAAATGTTAAGTTTCAATCTTCCTTTTTGCATATGTACTGCTTTAATCTTTCGGCTATTGATCACCAGTTATGTTTGCAAAGATCACATTTAGGCTTTCCTTTACAGAGAGATTTAACTTACCCTTTAAACCATGAGTCAGTGCTTTTAGTTTTGGGGATTTAGTTTCCTTAAAGCCCTCTGAGGGAAAGAAGGGTATATATAGTTATATATCTCCAGAGAAATTGAATATCAAAGTCTATATAACATGTAATTTATCAATGATTATTAACTCCTGCACTTGCCTGTGACTGCCTGTATTTGGTGATGAAGAAAATATAGAAAAGTAGATGATTAGAATAGGGAACCTAGGAAATAGGAATTGGAATGTAGATAATCTACAGAACAAATGGTATCTTCTTTTATTTCAATTGTCATTTGAAAAACTTTCTTTGAAGAGTAAATAAAATATAACAAATCGGGACTGAATTCAGTAGAATAGACTGAATACTACTAAAACATAAAAAATAAAAGAGCTAAAAGGTAACTTTAAGGTGTAGCTTTATGTTCTTACATTTATGGCATGAGTGCAAGGAAAGGCTCAACAGTTACATGCATCCATTTACTTTATAGTTGAATAGTAAAAAATAATGCAGTGAAAAGTAATACTTCCTAGGGATGTTCTTAGACATGCAACCTGATCAAAAAAGTATAAAACAGGTTGGATAGTATCTCTGGAATCTCCCATTAATACCAACAATGCCTTTTCATCAACCAACACTATTTGCCATAGTCTTCTCAATTCTATCTGGACTTCCTGATTTTGATCTTTTCAAGCCAATCCTTTTACACACTGCTCTCAGACTTAGTCATCTAAAGGGTCTTTGATGATCTCCATTGTCTTAAGTTAGAAGTCCTAAGCCTGGCCTACAAGGTTCTCTATTTTTTGTCATTTTCCTATTTTGACTTATTTCCTCCACTCTTTGACTGTCCTACTTAAACTTTAAGGCAGTCTCCTTAGACCTGGAATGCTGTTTCCCACTTTCTCAACCTACCAAGCTTTTGAACGTCCTTTGGGACCCAGACAAAATCTGATCTTTGCCGTGATACATTTCATTAATTCTCTGAGGTGGAATTAGTCTCCCTTTCCTTTGATTCTTCTGTAGCACCTGTAAGAACCTGTACAATAGCAGGTATCATATTGCATGGTAATTATTTTCCAAATGTCCTTCTCCTCATTCCAATTATGTGTACTTCAAGGGCCAGGACATTGAATCATTGTGTGTATCCTATGCTGGAAATATATTAAGCTTCCATAGAGTTCTCATGTAAATTATTGTGAAACATTTTTAATGCTATGAAGAAAGCATTTTAAATCTGTTTAAGAATACATGTTGACCGGGTGCAGTGGCTCATGCCTGTAATGCCAGCACTTTGGGAGGCCAAGGCAGGCAGATCGCTTGAGCCCAGGAGTTCGAGACCAGCCTGGACAACATGGTGAAACCTCATCTCTGCAAAACCCACAAAAATTAGCTGTGTGTGGTGGTGGGCACCTGTAATTCCAGCTACTTGGGAGGCTGAGGTGGGAGGTTTCACTTGAGGCGGGAGGCAGAGGTTGCAGTGAACTGAGATCACACCACTGCACCATCTGGGCGACAGAGTGCGACCTTGTCACACACACGAAAAAATAATACATGTTGAAACTTTGGGAAGGTTTTGAAGCAAGTTTTGATTAAATAGGACTTAGATTTCAGGAGTCAGTTTTATCTTCAATGCACTCAAATTTTTCAGATAATAAAATTATTTAATATACAGTCATACTAATAATATAGACCCTTGCAATAGATAAGTTGGTGTGTATGCGTATGTCCAACAGAGGATTCCTACAGTCACATATATTTTAGCCATAAAATAGGAAATCTAAATAAGCACCTTTGTCTTAGACTTCAGCACAATAGGTCGAACCTTCATTTGAATGTGACTAGGGACTGCCAAGTCCCTACTGCCTATCTCTACCAAAGGCTGATCTGGAAGTGAACCCTTTTCTTTCTTTTTTTTTTTTTTTCTAGCAGATGAATGTTATTGAGTTTATCTGTGGTCTAGTGATGATACCTGCAGAGCAGCTTCATTTTTCAGAGTCATTCAGAAAGCTATCATAAGCTTCTTCCTTCTTGTCAGGCAGAGCAAATCCTGGCATGACAGGATGTACTGGGAGTCTCCGATAGTGGGAACTGACAAAGATGTGCCTTCAGCACTCCCACAAAGCCATATTGTCTTTCTGGAAATGAGGAGGATTTATTCAGCAAATCTAAGTGTAAACTAGGAGACCCATCAGATAAAATCCATACAACAAAGATCACCAACCATTTTTTCTTCTTCTGAATAGAGCCAGAAGATGCAATTTACCTTCTTCTCTTTTTTTCCCCAGAAGTGACAATATAGAGTTAGAGAGAAATTATAGAGCGGAGATTTTGAAATTCAGTTTCCTCCCCAACTACCAGTTGAAAAAGCATAGCCTTAGGAAATGTTCTCATTTGATTTCCTATGTTTTATAACATGTTATGTTTGTGAATTTGTGTGTGATGTGTGGTGGTGGTGGTTCCAAAATATCTAAGATATATAGTAAATGAGCAAACAAAAATAGTTTGTAGCTTTTGATATATCATAGTTGTACATATTTTCGTGTTACATGTTGTATTAGTTCATTTTTACACAGCTATAAAGAACTACCTGAGACTGGGTGATTTATAAAGAAAAGAGGTTTAATTGACTCAAAGTTCCACATGACTGGGGAGGCCTCAGGACGCTGACAATCTTGGCAGAAGGTGAAGGGGAGGCAAGGCACATCTTACATGGTGGCAGGAGCTGGGGGATGTGGGGGGGGGGGAAGTGCCACACTTTTAAACCATCAGATCTCGTGAGAACTCACTCACTATCACAAGAAAAGTCTGAGGGAAATCTGCTCCCATGATCCAGTCATCTCCCACCAGGTCCCTCCCCTGACACAAGGAGATTACTATTTGGCATTAGATTTGGGTGGGGACACAGAGCCAAAGTATATCACATGTAATATTTTAATCATGTATATACTGTATAAATGATCAAATCAGAGTAATTGGGATATCCATCATCTCAATCCTTCCTTTCTTTGTGATGGGATCATTATAATTATTCTCTTCTAGCTATTTTGAAATATACAATGAATTATTGTTTATTATACTACCATATACTAGAAAAAATGCTCTTTAAACCTCATCAGAACACTTGCTAAATTGTCTTTCTATATGCTTATGACAACAGTAAAAAACAAAGATCACATGTCCAATATTACTGGGCTGTGCTTGGAAAAAAATATTTTACTCTTTTTTAAACTTTAGCCAATTATATCTTCAATAGATATCAACACTAATATCACATCTTTAAAAAGTTTCTATGGGTTTTAGTAAGGTATATAAAACCATCAAATATATTATCCAGAGAGACAATATATTGACATTTAAAATATGTTCTTACTCATTTATGGTATCACCTACTGTCAGAGGTAAAGTAAATTTAATGATGTCTAAAGGGATTACAGTTGCTTAAATTGGCTAGAGTTTTATATGATTTATATTTTCATTCTTTTCTGGACATTGGAATCAAGTAGTAAATTTTGAAATTTTATATTATATTTTTACTTATCCTGTTTACAGTATCACACCTGACTCAATTTAGAGTAGAAAATATTTCTAGTTACCCTTCGTCAGAATATAAACATCTTTTCAAATTCATTTCAGCATTTTAATTGTGTTAATAGAAATAGTTCAAAAATATAGCATAAACCTCAGCATGTTCTATTTTGGAGAGAAGGAGGACAATGATTGTTGACTCTGATGGATAGTTTCCCAATGTGAAAAGAGTAAATTTTTCTTCATAATAATATTTTATTTCATTTCATATGGTACTCTAAAATAGGCAAAATATACCTTTACCTCTCTTCTGAATACTAGAAGTAGAAGTAAATGATTTTATTATTGACATTATTAATTATACTATATTTATGTTGATATGATGCCTTACAGTTCATCAATCATTTTCATATATTTTAATTCATTTGGCCCTAATAGCTGTGACCACCTCCCAGAATAGCCCAGTCAAAAGAGGTTGAAAAGAAAAATCATACAAAATACCCATGAAGTTTAAGAATTTATGGCACTTGAAATATTTGCCCTTAGACAATGTTCTTAGTATTTCTGAGCCTCAGTTTTTAATACATGAATAAGAATACTTTAAGTATTATTCTTCCACATAATGGGAATAAGAATACTTACTCCATGAAATGAGAATAAGAAGACTTACTTTATGTAGCTACTGAGGGAGTCAAGTGAGGAACAATTACTAATGCCATGACACAGTGTAGATGCTCAATACTCATCATTCAGTTTCCCCTTTTGAACTTAAGGCCAGAAAGAAGTGACTTCAGTGGTGGTACTAAGGAGAGAGGGGGTGATTTAGCCTTCGCTTAACATTCATCAGACCTCACACCAAGCCACAGGAAGCAAATATACAATCTCTGAAAATAGGGAAACCTACATTCAAGACAAATCCTGTGTGTACCTCCTCCCCTTCCTCTCCCAGAAAAGATGGCTATGTCTGAATCACAAAATGTAAGCGGTCGCCTAAAAATTCAGAAATCAGGATAAATTATATTTTACCTCATTTTAACAATTAAAATCAATGCAAAATAATTCATATGAGCAAAATATTAAAATTTTAAGAGAATACAAGATGTAATCTTGCATTCGTGCCACTCATGTTCTCTGGCCTCATCCTTATCTCCACTTAACCACCAACTGAAGGACTAGAAAGTTGGCAATGACATAAAGCACAGCTTCCTCATGCCATCTTCCCATGTCCCCCCAACTTTGGGATAGTAAACATTGCCTGAATTTATAATCCTGTAATATTTTTAAATGTTTTATCAGATACATATGTTTCAACAATATTTGTTCCAGTTTAGTGTAGCAGGTAAGACTGTGGGTTTCAGAGCATTTCCACCTGGATTTGAATTCTGTCTACACTAATTACTGGATATCTGACCTTGGGAATGTTACTGAAGTTCTCTGAGCCTCAGTTTTCTCATCCAAAAAAAAAATGGGGACAATAATAGTAAATATGTCATAGGGCTATTGTGAACATATGTGAGAACATTAAAAATATTTACTGTATGACACAAAATGTTTTAGTTTGTTTTTATATTTAAATGTTATTAAAAAGATATTTGGGACTCATATTTTCCTCATGCATCATCCCATCCCTAGAATTTATCTTGATTGTTTTGTGTAGCAGTCGTTTCTTTGACTACTATGTAATCAGGTTAACTGTCCATTTTCCTGCCAGAGGGCATTTGGGCTGCTCGAAGATTTTTCGTTTATTGTGTTATTTTGGGCAGTGCTGCTAGGAACATTCTCCTCATGTTTCCTTTTGCAAATGCCTCTCTGTTTTTGATGTTGCAGATGGATTTTACCTTGCCATGGCATGAAATCCAAAGGCTGTACCCACAGATTCCGATATTTATCTCTTGCTTGTCCACACCTAGTAATAAACTTTAGCCAAAGCAAACTGTTGCTTGTTACTATGAGCCTAAAGTCGCTGTGCTGGTCCCTCCTGAATCCTTTTCTATGAGTCGCTTAGTACTCTTGCTCTCAAGCTCTGGTCTGTACCGAGCTGACAGCTTTTTTTATTTCTAGGACTTTATTGCTGTTTTAAAGTCTTTCCACTCTGAATCTGTACCTATTCACCCCAGAGTTAGTTGCATTTCTCTGTGTCTCTAACCTGAGGGTCATGAGTCTGACTTTGCTCAGTGAAGGCAAATATTTTCTTCCTCTGCAGTCTGTGTTCATTTTGATAATGATGCTTGATGGGGGGACTAAGCATCCCCCTGAGAGGAAAGAATCTCGTTTGGATTGTAATTTGTCACAGTTTGTCTTAGTTTGGATTTCTTTAAAAGCTAAGCCTGAGGCGAGGACTAGAGAGCAACTAGCTCATTTGGTAGCTGATCACAGGGAGCACAAGTGGGAGGCAGGGGAAGTAAGGAAAAACGGGGGAAAACAATAGTGAGTGTATTATTCAGCTGGCTACTGCAGTGGGAAACTGTTGTTCAATCCTGTGAAGACCCCTCTGAGGAATGCTGTAGAATGTACTCATAATTGTCCCTCTGAAGAATAAGAGGCTGGGGAATATGTCTCTGGTTCCTGTGCCTCATTAATTATTTCTCAGGGACATCAGGTCCCCTCCTGTGTGTTGGATGAGTGAGTTTCTATAACTTTGGACAAAGTCGTGAGGCTGAAACACAGAGAAGCAGTGGGTGCTTGACCTGGTGGGCTGTTAGCATGCCCGAGACTCTCCATTACAGGGCTGATCAAGCCAGAGGTAAACCAACAGAGTGGGCAGTGTCTGCTACACAGTTCCAACTGGATTTCCCAATTACCTAGTGCTATGGTCTTCTTTGACAACGTGTCTCAAGAAGGTAACCTGTAGCTCTAGCCCACTGCTACTGAATGTTTCATACCTGGTATCATGTGGATTATAACTGTAGTATTTCATTTTTCAGGTATTGTAGTATCGAAAAGCCCTATAGCCTGTTTTCCTTAGTATAAATTTTGATTAAATTATGCAAGTCCACTTTAAATTCACAGTTTGATGTTATGTACTTAGGAGGCACTCAATAAATAGTTCTTAAAGCAATAATTTTTAAATGACTTTTTGTATTATGTAGACACATATTAACTATAATAGAGCCCTTCGGCAGGAAAACTGTTTCTTCAAAGTTGCAAAGTGACTGACAACGATATATATAACTAGAAGCTTCAAGAAAAATGTTACCAGGGGCCACTTTTAAACTAGGGGGAAAATCGTTTTTCACAATAAGCTATCCCATCTCCTCCCTACTGAAGCCTCTGATCTGCTATGATTATTAAACCCTCATCTTTTAGTGCAAGAAACCCAGCAAGCTGAAAGGGAAATGCTTTTCAGATTTAAAAAACAAAAACAAAAACAAAAATAAACTTAATTTCTTTTAGGTTGATGTTGTTATACTAACTTGCCAATCAGTTAAACATGTATCTGTCTTTTAAAAATATCTTATTACATAAGAACAAAAGATTTTAAGACATACAGTTTCAATCATAACCAAATGTGTTTATTACTTCGAATTTTCCACAGTAACTTGAAGCCATCTATGTACCCATCTCCAATTCCATCGCTTCCCCACTACCACCAGAGATAACGGTGGTCGTGAAATTTGCTTTGTTTTATAGTCTTGCTACATATATATGTATTACTAAAAGAGAAATAGTCTTGCTCTGCATGCTTTTGAACTTCGTATAGTTGGAATCATATTGCATTTATTCTTCTGTGACTGTTTCTTTCAATCAGCATTATGTTGCTAAGATTCATCCATGTCTGTGACTGCAGCATTATGTCATATTCCGTCATAGAAATAACCCACAATTTATTTATGCATACTACTGTTGATGGATACTAGGGTCGTTTCCAGTTTTAATTCTTTTCCTATTACAAACAAGGTTCCTTGTATACATGTAGGAGTGGGATTGCTGGGTCACAGGGCCCATGTATGTGCCCTCTGGTATACTCTTTGGCTCCTTTACACTGCTCTACTGTGTACCACTGGGAGACTGACCTTTGTAGACTGTGTGTGCCAGGCTTCCATTTCCAGGTGACTTCCAGCTCTCTTTGGCTGATGGTGAAGGATTGGAAACTCAGGGAAGACACAAGAGTGCTTCTCTTCCTCTCTTTGTGTTTCAGGCAGTATCTTTGGCAACAGCTGCATATGCTTTGATGTCCCCCCTCCAACCAGATAGGCCCACTATAGCTGCAGCTTCCAATGAATGATCTCATAACCTCATTCACTGAATTCATGCACCCTGCCTTCTTCTTTCCTCCTCCTCCCCATTCCTTCTCCTCTTCCTCCTCCCCATCCTCCTCCTTCTCTCTCTCTCTCTCTCTCTCTCTCTCCCCTTCTCTCCCACTCTTCTTCTCTCCTCTCCCTTCCTCTCCCTGTACTTTAAGGGTAATAGTGGCTTCCTGTGGTTGCTAAACTCTGAGTCACTTTGTCCTCCACAGCTTGTCAACTCTGTTCTTCTCTCATTTGTTTCAATTCTATAATTTAAGCTTTCTGATTTAAATATCAAATGACTTTTTGTGTCTGCTTAGATTCTGACTGACATGATGTATTTCTAAGTTTCCAAGATTATGCCAAATTATTTTTAAAATTGGTTACACCAATTTAAATTCTCACGAACTTAAAAATTCTGCTTGCTCCCAAATTCTAACACTTGACAATGTCAAACTTAACTTTTGGCTACTCTGTTGAGTATAAAATTGTTTCTAGCTGTGGATTTACTTTGAATTGCATTAATGAAAAATGAGTTTGGGCATTTTTTCATGGTTCCATTGGCAAGTTTTAAATGCAGACAATTGTTTAGAATACATTATTTTTATTTAATAAAACTCATTATTAAATGTATATTCCTTTAAGGCTGTACTTTGATTTAGTGTAAGTAGTACACAATTTACCTCAGTTTTCCGTTTTATGTATTCACTCATTTAATTTAGCAGATATGAATTAAGTTCTACAATATACTATACAGAGTTTAATGTGAAAGTAAGAAATCAGAACATGTTATGGCTAGGATAACTTGGGAGCACAGCCTTTTGAAACTGGTTTAGTGTTAGGATACACATTTTTGTGTTTACCTCTCTTTCCCACCGCCAGTTTCACCATCATTCATAAGATCAATGACTGTGGTACATTACAAATATAATGTGAAATTGTTTACAAGATTTAGTATTGTTCAATCATTTTGCAGGCACTATCATGGACCTTCAGTGTCAATAAAGGATTCAGAGGTTCCAGAAAATTCTAGGCTATATCATGCCTTGAGAAGTCCTATCTAATAAATATATAGACCACTTTTAGAGTGTAAAGGAATTCGTAAAATGTGTCAGCTTAAAATATTGAAATAGCGAGGGTGACTTTTCCTTTCCAAACTGTTGATGAAGACTGCAGACAGGGATAAACATTAGCTCTGTGTGGACAGGATAGTGTCTGTTGTCTGAGATTCTGGTCATACTGGTTTAATACCCATAATTGAAAGAGCTCTAAGACATGGCTTTGTGGAGAAAGAAAGATACTACTTGAGAGAAAGCAAGTTCATATTTCCTTTTACTAATAAGTGTTCAGATTCCTAAAATACTGTAACAGTAAAAAGATATTTTGAAACTTTCTAAGAAAGTGTGTTCTAGGGCGGGGCGCGGTGGCTCACTCCTGTAATCCCAGCACTTTGGGGGGCCGAGGCAGGCGGATCACGAGGTCAGGATTTCGAGACCAGCCTGGCCAACATAGTGAAACCCCGTCTCTACTAAAAATGCACACACAGAAAAATTAGCCAGGCATGGCGGCGGGCACCTGGAATCCCAGCTACTCAGGAGGCTGAGGCAGGAGAATCGCTTGGCAGGAGAATTGGGAGGCGGAGGTTGCAGTGAGCCCAGATCACACCATTGCACTCCAGCCCGGGTGACAGTGTGAGACTCTATCTAAAAAAAATAAAAGAAAAAGAAATTGCATTCTAGGGGTGAACATCCACATGTACCTGGGATCAATCCTTCCACAGTCATATCTTCACATCATAATTCTAACCCTAAATCATCAAGAAAATATTATGTTAGACATACCATACATAAGAAGGGAAAGAGAGCTGTCCTACATAATCATTTTCATGTAAACCTTTCATCCAGAAGTTGAGGTGTTCTGTCATCCAAAGGAGTAGCTCTCAGCTGTCTGGAAAACCTTTTTGTTCAGAAGGACATTTGTTGTGCTTTGGTTTACCTTGGGTTTTATTGTGCCGCGTGTGTGTGTGTGCAATTCTCATTCTATTAAATTATTGTGTGATTTTGATACATTTATGTCAGGGATTAGAAATTTTAGAAATAGATTATTTCTGGTTTTCTGATCAATGTGTCCTGTCTATGTATTTTGTCTTTGTGCAAAGGAATAAGACTAAAACACAAGTTATATGCCTGAGTCTACAACTGAGTGTTGTAAACCAAAATTCCAAATGAAAGAAAGATATGGGGTGGATGGCAGGATTAGAGAATTGAAAGAGTGAAGAACAAAAGGCTTGCAGACATCAGTAAAATATGCTTTCTTAGTTAAAAATAGTAAGAATGTTTTGGAATATTTTACATTAATTTCGTTTCCCACTTTTTCTTTACTTTTGCACAATTAATGATTTAGTTTTTGAGTTTCAAATATTTGGCCAAGCTTATCTACTGATTGAATTCAATTTCTTACTGGATGTGTGTACTGCTTTTTTGTTGCATTCATGGCATAAATTTTGTGGACGCATTTCTACAAAAACCGTGGATTCAGCATGTTGCAGAGTACTATGGCAAGAAAACTGAGTAACAGACTAAGCTGAGACTTGGTAGAAAATATCTGTTCTCCTACAAGGCTTGACTCTCTACTGTTACTTCAAGAAAATATTATGTTAACTATATGTGTTATACTTAAGAAGGCAGAAGGATACTCACTCCTCTGACGTGGCGAGATACTCCTCATTACCCCCACGGAAATACTATCTAGATTGTGAACTCATCCATAGAATGACTACATATGATTCATTTTGTGATTTCCCTAATATGTATTGAGTTTAAACTACATTGAATTCCCTGGAGTTTGACTAGAAGGTTGATTATCCAGTAGAGTTTCTTGTAAGAAATTCTTATAGCAGTGAACTATTCTTTATGGCAGATAAATCCTACCTGTGTATACTGATTTTCTTTCTTAGTACCATAGTTATACTCAGGTTACTTTTTTTTTTTTTTTTTTTTTTTGCTCATATAGACAAGACTACATAATCCTTTTTAGAAAGGGCCAATATCCTATTTGGAATAAAAACAAAACAGTTAGATGGTACCAGGGTCACCTTAAATTAACTTATCAGACTATCAACCAAATCGAAATATGATTTCAGATGTAATTAACCCATTTGCCTAGTGAGATGCAAAGGTGTGAGGATTTCTTGAACACATCTTTCTCTTATGTAGCAAATATCAACCTCCTGATACCTTTTGTAGTCAGTTCACATACCATGACAATACATCCTAAATTTTCAGGTGTGATCTAACCAGCATAGGTTCACATAATTGGCATGACACGGAATTTTTAAAATATCAACTACCTCAGGAACTTTATTCATGTGAATCTGGAAGATCCTTTTTGGTATTTGAGCCCTTTCATAGATTCAGATGTCAAAGTATTTTTAGAATGGGTCTGTAAGGCATCATTATTTTGTAATTATAATCTTATTGATTGACAGCAAATGCTGTGTTCCATGAAAATGTTGCATTGAAGTGATCCCGGTTAGTGCTAAAGACAGACTGCTTAGATCTAAAGTCTCATGAGAAGAAAGAAAGAACTTAAAATCATTTTAAATTCACCAATATGACGATACAGGATCTCTCATAAAATGCTGAAAGGTTGTTTTTGCTGCCAGACTTTTAGCACTTCCGTTTTACGTTCAAATGTTGTAAAGGTTGATTACTCATAAGTTAAAATGTTTGGTGCAAAATGTACTTTAAAAATATTTTCAGTGTTTTTTGGAAATTGTAGACATTTGATTTTGAAAAGTAGGCCAGAAATTTGGAAGACTACAAGCCATATGATGGCTGATATTTCCCATGGAAAATATAATATGCAGCTGTGCTCTGCTGCATGGTAGAACAGGAGATTAAAATATGAGAAATTATAATACCGTTTGATGATGATATTAATGTCACTGAATCAAATAAAGTATGTGATATATCATAAGTTAATAGAACAACACTTAATTATTGATTAGAGCCTACATCACATTTTAAATTATCGGCATGTTTGGTCTTGCAAAGGGTCAAGGGTGACTCGTAGCAACAGAACTATTCTCCTTTCAAAAAGTTAGCAGAAAGTTAATATCAAATTCTATGAGGTAGAGAGGGATTTGGGCTGAGGTAGGTCAGGAGGAACGTAAAGAGATGTGTCATGTGTAGATTTGTGAGCTGTGGGCACCTGATTTTGTGTTT
Organism: Homo sapiens; assembly: GCF_000001405.40. NCBI lineage: Eukaryota > Metazoa > Chordata > Mammalia > Primates > Hominidae > Homo > Homo sapiens. The sequence continues at coordinate 32,907,926 of NC_000023.11, read as the reverse complement.
AACAGTATTTACGACCAAGATAAGTGAATGAAGAGCTATGTTCTTATGAACCTTAAGTTTATTTTGCTAAAATAAGTAAGAAAATTCAAATTCAAATTAAGCTATATAGTCTTGCAAATTTCAGGTCTCTGAGGGGTGTGCATTAATAAGTATTCAAAAGTATTTTGTCATTTAATTACTATTATATGAATTTTTATGTAATTGAATTATTCTTGAATGTTGAGAAACTGTCTTTACTAGGCTAAAAATTCCCTTAGTGATCTCGTTACCCAATTCCTTTGTGTTCCACTCTCAGTGTCTGAATTGTCACCAATATGTGGAGTCCAAATTATGAAATACAAAGCTTTACCAGAATTCTGATGATTTTGAAGGAAGAAAATTACAGCAAATTTTGATCAATTCTCTCCTATTAGTGATTAATTCAATGAACCGCTTGAATTTCTTATTTCCTCGTAGAACTGTATGTACATGAAGGATAGATACAATATTTAGTACAATCTATAGTGAGATATGAAGGGAAGGAGATTATGAGAAAAGAATAAAACTTTATTATAAAAATGCTTGTTCATAAAGATTTGACACAAAATCAATATGATAAGTTTTCAGAAAATCAAACAATGAATTTCGTATGAAACCTCACATTGGCAAAGCAGTTATGTGAATACCAATATTTTTTAAATCTAAAACAAAGCATTTTGAAGTAGTTTCATGAATAATGTACTGAACCTGTTTCACGCAATGAAATGAACATCACAGTGAGAAAATTATTCCACAATTGTAAAGTTAAGTGAAGCTTGCATTATAAGGCCAATAATACTCAATAGGGTATTTTCTCATGAATTTACACTATAGAATGTTTTTATTCTGGAATTTGGATGATATCATAGTCATTCAACAAATACAGAGACTAAGTGATTTTTAAAATCTTTCAGGAAATTAGTTCTTTAATTTCATCTACATGTATGTAAAATAACCAAACCTATGTCTTATGCATATAATGTCATTCTAATATATTGTTCATGATCATAATATTTATATAGAATCCATTTTGCTTGGCCGATTGATTTGGCTTGGCCTACAAATTAGTACAGTCCCTCTCAACTTTGACACTTCTGTGTACCATCAGCTCCTTCCTGGAGTACTGAAATAGCATCCTAACTGCTCTCTCTCATGTAGTCTTGACCCCATCTATAAATCCTAATTTCAGCATTTGGAGCAACCTTTTAGAAAGATCAATTAAATCATCTCACCTCTTCATTAAAACGCCTCTCATTCTACCAAGAGTAAATTCCAAACCTTTTAACCTTGACCTACATAACTGGACCATGCCTCCCTCGCCCATTTCAATTCAGCTTTGCTCTTGTAGCTCCAGGCAAGCTAGCTCTGTCTTAGTTCTTGCATGTAATAAGCTTTCAAGTCCCTCGGTGTCTACTTATTTACTGTTCCCTCTGTATTAGTCCATTCTGGCATTGCTGTAAAGAAATACCTGACACTGGATAATTTATAAAGAAAAGACGTTTAGTTGGTTCACGGTTCTGCAGGCTGTTCAGGAAGCATAGCAGCTTCTGCTTCTGGGGCGGCCTCAGGAAGCTTCTAATCATGGCAGAAGGCAGACGGGGAGCGAGGTGACTCAGACGGTGGGAGCAAGGGCAAGAGAGACAGCAAGTGGGGAGGTGCTGCACACTTTTAAACAACCAGATCTCGTGAGAGCCCACTATCGCGAGAACAGCATCAAGGGGATGGTGCTACACCATTAATGAGAAACACCGTGATCCAATCACCTGCCACCAGGCCCCACCTCTAACATTAGGGATTACAATTCAACATGAGATTTCGTGGGGACATGAATTTAAACCATATCACTATCTGACTGGAATGTGCTTTGCTCCTGCTTCTACTTCCGTTTTCTGAGCAATCAGACAGTTATTCATTAACTCATTCATTCATTCACTCACTCATTTGTTCATTTATGTATTAAATTATTCAGTGATTCTCAACTCTGGGTGGTTTTGCCGTCCAGGGGTTATTTCACCATGTCCGGAGAGATTCCTAGTGGCATAACTAAAAGAAGAGATGTTTGCTACTGGTGTCTAGTGGGTAGAGACCAGGGATGTTGCTAAACATGTAATAATGTTCAGGTCAACCCACCATAATAAAGAATCATCTTGTGCAAAATCTCAGTAGCACCAAGATTGAGAATCTCTGCAATACGTCAACAACCCTTCTAGGTGCCAGGAATATGACAGTGAACCAAATGAATATGGTCTAAACTTTCACAAACTAATCCATTAAGGAGAAGATAGTCAATAAGCTGGCTAACAAACAATTAAATGTATACTTTCAAATTATGTTGGGTGCTCTCATGGACAAGGGGACAAGAGAGTGGCCAGTGAAACCTAATTTAGAGCAGGTGGTGTTGGGGGAGGTGGTGTTTATGCTAAGACCCAAAGAATGAAAGAAAGACTCAGCCCCAACTTATATATATAGTAAACATTTATTGAATATCAATAGCAAAAAGTTGCATTTTTCTCAACCATGTCTTTTTATGGTAACTGGAAATTGTTCAAATTATTTTTTAGAATCTTTTAATCATAGATTCTTTGCTAAGGGGATTAGTCTAGCATTTTTCTCTTGTGAGCAATTAAGTTCTCACCAAGTTAGTGAATCCTATGTCTTATGTACTTCCTACTTATTACTATGAAATTATCTAAAAAATGCTCATAGGGTTCCTAATGTAGTTGAAAAGCAAACTGTTGCTGCATCTCTAATCAGTAACAAAACTTGTATTTCTGTCGCAAAATAATGTAAAATTTTATAGTACTTTTTACATATTTATTTAAAACAATTTTAAGTAAGATTGTTTCTTTGTGGAAGGTCATATGGTCCCAATATAGGGATGTGTACAGAAATACATATATACATACAACAACACAATGTTAAACCTAGCAAAAGAGTGGAGTCTCTTTCTTTTATTTTTCTTACTTTTTGAGCAACGAGACAAGCAACATATTATGCCTAGTCACTTGAATCATACACCATTAAAACATTATGGGCTGAGTGCAGTGGCTCATGCCTGTAATCCCAGCACTTTGGAAGGCCAAGGCAGGTGGATTACCTGAGGTCAGGAGTTCAAGACCAGCCTGGCCAACATGGTGAAACCCTGTCTCTACCAAAAATACAAAAATTAGCCGGGCGTGTGGTGGTGGATGCCTGTAATCCCAGCTACTTGGGAGGCTGAGGCAGGAGAATTGCTTGAGCCCGGGAGGCGGAGGTTGCAGTGAGCAGAGATCCGCCATTGCACTCCAGCCTGGGTGACAGAGCGAGACTCCATCTCCAAAAAAAGAAAAGAAAATATGAAAAGAACCATTTTTAATGTCAACTACTGCTTTGATGCTAATGTCTGTCAGTTCAGTGTCTATGACTTACCCTTTATTCTGCTCAAAACCTTCTTGAATTTTCCATTTGAATATCCCACAGGCTCTTGACCCCACTTATCCAAAATTAAACCTATCTTCCTCTCTACTACACCTCTTCTTATAATCTTTCTCTTGCTATTTCTAAACATTTAGTGGGCCAAATAAATACCCTAGGAGACATGACTTGAAAGGGGTATGAAGTTTAGATAATGTTCGGCTTCTTGATCTGATACTGGTTAAATGGGTGCATTACATTTGTGAAAACTTATTGAGTCACTTATGACTTACAGATTTTCTCTATATATTTTATATTTTAAGAAAAAAGATTACATATAAATTCTAGAAGCCAAGCTACACCTTTCCCTCTTATTCATCCAGCACATTTACTGAGACAGCTAGATTTTCATAATGACTGTCCATTGTTGAATATTTGCTATATCTTTGATATTGTTATCCATTATTAACTTCCTTACCTGGTTTGACAGTTGAAAATTTCTGTGGTGCAGCTATTATTATTTCCATTTCACATATGAGCAAAAAGAGACTTAGAGTGGTTAAGTAACTTGTCTAAGTTCACACAACAACAAAGTGGCAGGAGTAGAGTTTGAATTCGAGTCAATATTTATAATCACTATGATATCTTGCTTCTCGTGTTCCAGTCGCATTAAAACTATGAATGCCACTCCCACTCCTTATCCATCCTTACTACCTGGCTTCACTTTAGATCTTCAGGTCTTCTTTCCTATATTATAATGATAATATCATAAGAAATCCAGTGCAGTTTAGTCTATTCCAAAATCAGTCTAAATACTGCCAGGATTAGTGTTCATTCCACAATATAAATCTGATTGTGTAGTTTACTTAAAATCCATTAACACAGCCGTTAGCAACCTTAGCTACATGTGAAAATCACCAGGCTCCACCCAAGATAAATTAAATCAGAATCTCTGGGTATGAGGGACTGGGAGTGAGCATTTTAAGAAAGCTCCCTGGGTAACTGTAATGCTCAGCTAGGCTTGGAAACCAATGCTTTAACGTTTCCCTACAGCTTTTATTATAAAAATAAACCCCTCAGCATTGCACAAAATGCCCTTTGTAATTTGGTTTTTGCCTTCCTCTACCTCGCCTCCTCTGCTGTAATTCCCTTCTTCTCCCACTTTTTCCCCACCCTACCTACATACATTTCATTGCAATTATTCAAAAGTCTTTGTTTCTTCTGAAGAGTTATGATTTTTATACCATACCCTTACACATACCAGTCTTCCCCTCTAAATGCTTAGTTACATTATCTTTGTACTTAATCCTTTTAGTTGCTGATAATAAATGAAAATTTCTTTTTAGTTTCTTTTTTTTTTTTTTTTTTTTTGAGACTGAGTCTCACTCTGTCGCCCAGGCTGGGCTGCAACCTGGGCTGCAACCTCCGCCTCCCGGGTTCAAGGGATTCTCTTGCCTCAGCCTCCTGAGTAGCTGGGACTACAGGCATGAGCCACCAAGCCCAGCTAATTTTTGTATTTTTAGTAGAGATGGGGTTTCATCATGTTGGCCAGGCTGGTCTCAAACTCCTGACCTCGGGTGATCCACCCGCCTTGGCCTCCCAAAGTGCTGGGATTACAGGTGTGAACCACCGCACCTGGCCAAATTTCTTTATAGTTTCTTGACTTGTTTTTAATTTAGAAAATTTCCCACGTATATAGACACCATACAATTTATAATGTAAAGCTGTTTTCCTATATCAATCATGTTTTACCTTTTTTCTCTTTCTCCTATATATGCTGCTTCCTGGAAGATCTAGGAGCTGACAAGTGTCTTTTTATCTTGCTTTGCAAATCTAATCTTTTGCCATTTCTTTTTATAGAAATGAAAGCTTGTATCATGCATACTAAAGATGGCTTCTTCTTTGGGCTGTAGGGCCATTTAATGAGTTATATTGAACTGAATGCTTTATAAGAGTTCAAATTAGTACATTGGGATACTCCTATGCCAGGGATGGATTAATATATCTGTCCACATATATACACAAAAATGTGTGTTGCTAATTTCCAAATTAGAGAATACTTATTTTGAATTATCAGTATCTATGACATATTTTGCATGTGGTATATATTTGGTTAATTAAACTGAGTTACCACTTGTTTTATCAAAATTTGGTGTCTTTCTAAATATATCATGAATATTTTTCTTCTAATGCACCTCGCTTTCTGCTGGAACTATAGAAACACTTTGTAAATTTTTACTTGTGACCACTCGAACATTTACAGGACATTTTACCTGAAAATTTTTTCTGAGTCAGTGAAGAAAATGTCCATGTTTCTGCGTGTGTGTGTGTGTGTGTGTGTGTGTGTGTGTGTGTGTTTGTGTGTGTGTGATGCTTGCTTATGAGGAATTTATTTTGGCTATGGTTCTTTATTTTGCTATTGCACTCTTAACATTCGTATGATATGTATTATTACCCTATAAATACTTACACAATATATTCTTACAAAAATTAATACAAAGATTGGCCAAAATGTAATAGCATATGTTTTTGTAAATAGAATATCCATATACAGTCATAATAAAACTGAAGAGCGATTTTATACTTTTCCATAAAGCCAAAGATTAAGGGTGTAATCACTGCTTATAATTTACTAGGAAACTATAAAACAGATAAAAGTAGATGAAAGGATATTACAAATATCTCAATAAGTCGTCCTCCGCAACTGACCCCTTGCTTTACACATGTTCAGACACTCTATACTAAACTCTGTTTATTTTTCTATTTTATAATTTTCTATATGATCGTAATTCAGCGTTTTCCTATAATATTATTAGTAGTGCTACCAACAGATATTACATTTTATGAAAAATTTTAAAAAGGGCACATGTTGCATAAAACTAGGTTTTGAAACAGCTGCTTATAATGCTGATATTTAGCACATGACTAGGTGGAATATGGACTTTTTAATGAATATTTTTTCAAAGTTAGGTAATTTCTCATCAGTCAGTTTCAAAAGCAAAGTTAAAATTTGTGTTTCAAAAAACTGGGTATGTTTGAAAATTGTATTTAATAATGGATTTTGAGAGTTCTCAATAGCAAATTGCTTGGCTGACTGTAGTTTAAGAAGTAATAATTTTGAAGAGAAGTTGAATGCAGGTACTTTCAAAGTGTTGAAATTTTTAAAGAAGAAAATTAACCTTTTCAGACTGTACACTTGTTCATCTTTTATATTCTTTTCCCTTTAAAAAAGAATTGTAGTAAGAAGGGAGATTACCTTCTGTCATTGATACAAATTTTCCACAGTATAAATGCTGTTTATCACATTTGTATAATATACACTTCCTATCAATTTTAAAAATTACATGTTACTACTATTTAACTCTGACTTAATTATTTTAAATATAAAATAATTCATTCTTTTATAAATAATCAAAACTATAGTTTTACTTTTCTTTCAAAATATACCACTGACTACATTACAGATTAGATTTTTTTTAGTATACCAAACATATTTTCATCTTTTGGAGTTATTGGAAGAGTAGCTGCTTACTGCCTTACATTTTAGATTTCTCTATATAACAAGCATTTTCATCATTTTGGCTTATTCGAGTAATTCTTAATAAATAATAATACAATATTTACAAATGAGATGTCATTTGCAATTTTAACACTTCATAATTTTAACAAAATATCTTTACTTTGAGTTTTTTACTTTCCTTTTGGTGTGACATTTTGACCTCCAATGTGATCTTCATTTAAAGGAAATATCAACGAAAATTCCTTTTTTTTCATTTGCTATAGATGTACATATAAGATTTACATGTGTAAGGAATATAGAGCAATAATGAATTGAGCTATTCCTCATAATCACTTCACTTAAGAAATAGGGGGCTGGGTGTGGTGGCTTGTGCTTGTAATCCCAGAGTTTTGGGAGGCTGAGGTGGTAGGATTGCTTGTGTCCAGGAGTTTGAGTCCAGCCTAACCAACATATCAAGACATTAAGTCTATGAAAAAATTAAAAAATTATCTGGGCATAGTGGCATGCACCTATAGTCCTAGCTACTCAGGAGGCTGAGGCAGTTGAATGGCTTGAGCCCAGAAATTCAAGGTTAGACTGAGAGCTATGATAGTGCCACTAAACTTCAGCCTGGGAAACAGAGTGAGGGCCCTTCTCTTAAAGAAAAATTGACTAGAATATGACTAATACTCTAGAAGCCCTCCTCCACATGCCACCCTTCCCAAATGCACCACTATTCTCTCTTCCCAATTTTCATTTTTGTATTTATTATTCCTATTCATACCAACACAATTTTACCAGATGTGTATGTATTTTCAGCAAATATTTTTAGTTTATTATGCACTTAATTGACACTATGGAAGAACAGCTTTTAAGATATTATTCCAACTTAGGGAATTTTAAGGAAATAAGACCTTTGTATATAAAAAGTTAAATAGGAATACCGATTTGCTTTTGATTAGTGTTAAATCACATAAGTTTAAATTTGTAGGAGATCATAGAGATCAGAAAGCCCAGTGGTTCACAAACTTTCTTTTTTTTATCAACAAAACCTCTTTTAAAAATATATAGCATAAGGAAGACGGAACCATAAAACTGAAATTACAGCAGCTCAACTGAATTGTGAGTTTCAACTGAACTCAATTTCAAACCCACAAATAAGTCAAACTCTTACTTTACTGAGAATATATTTGGACCACACAGAGTTTAAAAAACATGTTTAAATTTATTTAGCTTATTTATACCAGAACCAATATAAGAATCCATAACATTCTGCATTAGAATTAAGTACAAACACTTTTTCTTTCTTTCTTTTTCTTTTTCTTTCTTTTTTTTTTTTTTTTGAGACGGAGTCTTGCTCTGTTGTCCAGGCTGGAGTGCAGTGACGCGATCTCGGCTCACTGCAACCTCTGCCTCCCAGGTTCAAGTGATTCTTCTGCCTCAGCCTCCTGAGTAGCTGGGACTACAGGCACGTGCCACCACGACCAGCTAATTTTTGTATTTTTAGTAGCGACGGGGTTTCACCATGTTGGTCAGGATGGTCTCGATCTCTTGATCTCGTGATCCGCCCGCCTCAGCCTCCCAAAGTGCTGTGATTGCAGGCGTGAGCCACCGCACCCGGCCGTAGAATTAAGTACAAACACTTTCTATGATATTATACTAAATTAAAAACAGGAACTCAAAATGATACAAACTGAACTGAAATAAAATAAAATAATACAGTGAATGGAGTCCACAATTAAAATACCTGCAAGGACCTGAAAGGGAATGGAAATAGGTGAAGCAAAGATCTAAATGCATACGGACATTGTGTAAATTGGAAAGAATACTGGCAAATGGCACGCCTGTGCCCAGTCTAAAATGGGCAACTGCTAATCAATTCAGTCTAGCAGTGTCCATGTCAGAATGTAGAGCTATTTTTGGCCATATATTTTATTTTTCAAGAGGAACTTAAGAATCTGGAGTTGTATGTAAAACATCCCAGTGCACTATATATTTGCCTCATAAGTTGAGCACTTTTTTTTATGTGTGCATGTTGTCTACTGGTGAATCCCAAGCACTTGGAACAGTGCCTGATATATAGTAGGCAGTGATGTATATTTGGTGGGTAACTGGAAAAAGGTTTTCCAATTAAAAATTCTGTGCAAGCCTGAGGTAGGAGTTGGGCAGGACTTATTTCCCATTCCCAGAGGATAAAGTGAAGAAACTGGCAGGTACCAGCAGGCAGCGACCAACGGAAGTGAGAAAAACAGCAGAAACCAGCAGATGGCAACAAAAGTGATCCCCAGCAGCCCTCATTGCATATTAGCAGAAGCCACTCCCACCAGCACCATGACAGTTTACAAAGGACATGGCAATAACCCAGAAGTTACCACCCCTTTCCTAGAAAGTTCTAAATAACCTGTCTCTCAATTTGCATTAATCTGCCACTTAATTTACATGTAATTGAAAGTGGGTATAAATGGATATAAATACAGTAGCCAGCAGCCCATACCCTGCCAACTTTGGAGGCACTGCCTATGAGTTGTCCCTATTTCACAAAGCGCAGTAATGTTCACTAAAACATAGCTGTTTAACGCCACTGGCTCGCCCTTGAATTCTTTCCTAGGCAAAGCCAAGAATCCTCCCAGGCCAAGCCCTGATTTTGGGGCTTAACCTGTCCTGTATCAAACTAGCCAAATGTATCTCAGGCCTGAATTAGATCAATGGCTACCAGTTCAAATCTTTTGTTTTAGATATTAGAGAGGCAGGAAGTGACTCTCTACTGTGTAGCATGATACTCAGAGCCCAGGAACTTCTTCAGAATCCCAGTTTGACTTCCAAAACGCCAGTGTCTTGCTTTTATTTACTCTTGTGGGTGGCAGTAAGGGAAGGGAGCATATCTCCTTAGCAAAACATCTCATCAGAACACGGTCCATAGCACAAATTATTAATTAAAGACTTACGTGGAGGCTCAAATATAGAGCCAAAGCATAACCATTTAACAATTATCCTTCAAAGCAATTTTATTCTTGGCTTTTGGTGGAAAAAACTCTTAAAAATAAAATGATAATTCTACATATGGGATTTGTGATGCTATTTAGCAAGGATATGCTTTATTGCCTGACATCCCCTTTATTTTGGCAGAATACTATGAGATTCTCATTACGTTTCCATTTGCTGCGGAAAGTGGAGAAAAGTTCAGAGGGGGAAGACTAATTAAAAAAATGGTTGTCTACTAATCCATTGAACTAAGGCTTCTTAACAGTCATGCTCTTCTTAATAGTATGAACACACATTTTGTATTGATTGCAGAGAATAAAGAAAAAGAAATGACTTGTTTTGAACTTCAAAATGGAAAAAATGAATACAAAATCCAGATAAGCCTTTGGGCATACCAACTTTTTCGACTTGTATTATATAACAACAGTTGGCAAATGATTTCAAGTTGCTAAAGCATAGAAAATGATATTTATTTGATGAAAGCTAATAAATCAGACAGAACAATTAATGGATAATTTGGATTGAACAAGTATGAAAGATTCCACCAATAAGAACCCTCCTACCTAAAACTATGAGGTTTTTAAATGAAAGACTCTCCTAATGTCATAGATTTTCTCTACCTGTGCTTTATCTGAAAATAAAAATCACAGCTTTTCCCTTCACCTCTTCATTCTCTACTCCTCCTTATATTTCCCCTTTCCTTCTTCCTTCCTTCTCCTTCCTTTACTCTTTGTTCTTTTTATTCCTGTTTGTTCTGATTACCTGTGATGTTTTCTAAAAACATTAAAATTTTGGTCACCATTAATATTTTTTACAATGAATTAAGAAATTTATCTCAGAAACTGGATTTGAACCAAAGCCTTGTTTTGAACTTCTAATAAGTAGACTGAGGAACAAGCACGATTTTAAGGGCATATTTAATAGGCAAAATAAAAAAAACGCATAAAATGCCCAGTCGTTGATGAAAAAAATATATTTTTGTAATTGCTGTTATTCAGGTGCTTGAAGGCCCATGTTAAAGTATCACTGGAGAAGATAAAAAGCATACTTCCTCAATGTGAAAACCCTCAAAAGAAAGGGCTATAAACACTTTGTCCTGAATATTTGTTGTTTCAATTGCTGACGTTTAACTTTTCATCTGACAGCAATTCAAGTTCTGCGTACCACAGTGTTGTTGAATCTTTGAATCTGAAAAATATTTTCCTTGCAGCTGTGATAATAATGTATCTCCTGATAATGCATTTAATGTGGCAAAGACACTTTTCTTAAACACAGTGAAAACTAAGTGTTCATTTTGTCATTGTAAAATGAGACATGTTTAGTTGCTCCAAATTTTAACTTGGGTAACCTTGAGACATAGTTGCACATTTAACATCCTATATTTTGCTTGTCTTGCAGTCAAGTGAATTATCTTAGTTACTGGAGTGTTACGTGACACCAATTGTTTTGTTACCACTGCTTTAAAAATAGCTCTATCCCTAGACCCCATCAGTAGTGTGTCTTTTAGGGCCCCGATTTTTTTCTAATCTATAGGTTAGCCCTCAAGGCAACGTGGCCTCTTTCTGTTTACTTCTCATTATTCCTGTAATTCCAATTCTACATGTGACTCTTTGCTTTATTTTAAAACAGTTGTGCATTGCTGATGAGCCTTGAAGTCACCAGGGGTGGCTGGTGTCAATAGTGAGTCTGTACATGGCTATTTTTATCCATAAAGCAGTTTACTTTCTGTATGATGAAAGGCGTTAAAGTAAAACCTGCCTCCTATTATACCCTAGGGGTGTAATCAAGAGGGATTTGATCATAGCATACCAATTAAGCAGGCTACAGCAGACTGCTCTGGGTTGTACTAAGGAGTAGGGTGTTCTCCACAGATTTTTGAACCCTTTATTGCAAAAGCATCAGGGCACAGCACATCTAATTCTTTTCATCGCACAGCTGTGTACATAAACCTCTGTATACAGTTTCTGCTCAGAGGCTGTGCTCTTAGATTTAATTTTTCTTATAAGTCATTACAGCCGTGATCATTCATTTAAACCTCGGCAAGATAAGCATTACTAGTTCCCAGTAAACTAGATGATCTCTTCCTCTAGACTGTATTTTCTCTTATGAACAATTATAAGATTACAAGACTAGCAATGTTGCTTATTTACACTACACTACACACACACACACACACACACACACACACACGTTCATTCCAAGCCAGCAGCCAGCTCAGCATCCTTGAAAGCTCTCAACCTCAGCCGAATATATAAATATCAGAATTCTCTCTACCACCCTCAATTAGAAAATGTTCCAGTTCTGCTTTTAAACTTCCACTCCAATTCTTCTTGCTAAGGCCTGGAAGCCTCAAGGTTTCTTGTATTGCCTTATATACACCTGGATTATTCCTCTCTGTTGAAAACTATGTCCCATTGGAATGGGAGTGTCTGACCAGCTGGTGCCCAAGAATGCTCTCAGAAAACGATCTTCCACAAGCCAGAGCCAAAACCCAAACCCTTGACCCTTATCAACCTTGACGCCCAAAACTCCAGGTGTGGATTAGCACAGTAACCCGCAAACCCACTCCTACACGAAGGAAGATTTTTCTAGAACAACTACAGCTCTCCTTTTATATTTTTGGGTAATTCAGTTATGATGAACTGAACCAGAAGTATAAAGTATTTGCTCAGTTCAGTTCTTAATCTTTGTCATGGTATTACAATACTAAACCACTTGCTTTGTCACTTTCATATAGCTCATAAAAGAAAATATTACTGTATAAAATAGATTCTGTAGTCCTTCACTTGTTGTTATGGACTGACTATTCGTGTTTGCCCCAAATTCATATGCTGAAGCCCTAACCCCCAATGGGACGATATTTGGAGATGGAACCTTTGGGAATTAATTAGGGTAAGATAAGCACATGCAGGTGGGGCTCTGATCCGGTGGCCCGTGTAAAGAAAACACCAGAGAGCTTGCTCTTGCTTTGCCATGTGAGGACACAGGAGAAGGTTGTTGTTTACATATCAGGAGGAGAGCCCTCTCCAGAACTTGAACACGCTGGAACACTGACCTCGGACTTAAAGCCTCCAGAACTGTGAGAAAATAAATTTCTGTTGTTTAAGCTGCCCAGTCTATGGTATCTTGTTACAGCAGGCTGAAATGAGTAAGACACTTGTATTGTCCCTGCGGTTGACATCTGACTCTGTAAAAACACCCATGCATACACACACGTACACACAAAACAACAACATAACCAGTAAGATAGGTAATCAAGTATATGGTAAATGCACCTGATTGCAATAATGTGCGCATACCCTTAGAATGACCCTGTACTGCAGACACACCTGAATGTGTTTTCCGAGCTACGGAATCTGGGAGTAGCCCAGCAAGAGAGCCCTTCCTTGTCTATGAGGAACATCTGAGCCCCAAGTGCATCCCGTGGAACACGGGCCATACATACAGCGGATTGAGGCCCCGAGTTTTGGGTTGGATGAAGGTTGCCAGGTGAACGTCATTAAGGGCAGAGGGTTAAGTAAAAATGCTATATAAACTGCATGCTGCCCGCAAGCAGCGTTGGTTTGCCCGCTCATCCCACCGCCGCCATCACTACCACTGTGCTGCGAGGCTATCTTGTCCAGTCTGCCACCACTGGATCGTTTCTACAGGTAAGGCACTTCTCCTGTCCAGCCCACCACTACTGAATTCCCTCCCCTGTATGTAAACCTCTAATAAAACCCAATGCCTCGTTTGCTGGCTATGGGTTTCTTCCTCAGTCTCTTGAACCTGATGCCTTCGCTATTGAGGGTTATAGGGGTTCAGTACAACATCATGATGTGAACAAACGCGTTTATTTGGGCAGATGTATTGGTCAGCTCTCAAAACAATAATATCAAGTAATAATCATTACCTCCAACTTAATGGTTTTAAATAGCATTAATTCTCATGGTCATGCGGGGTTTGGCTGACCTAAGTTGATCTAGATTTGGTTCTGCATCAGGCTGGTAGTTGCTAGGCTTGGCTTTCAGCGGCAGGTTTGGTTTGGATTTCTTTGATGTGTCACGTCCAGAGGCACACACTGGAATGGCACCGGCCACCCAGTGCATGTTTTCATAGGTTGTCACTAGATAGCAAGCCCAAACATGCCAGCCCATCTCAAGGCTCTGCTCCTGTCATGTTTTCTTAACACCCCGTTGACCAAAGGCTATCACATTTCCCACCATAGGCTAGATATGCCATCCTATTAAGTAGGAATGAGAAAGTGGGGACCAATAAATCAACCTACAGTAGGAAAAGTAGGGGATTATTTAGTAGCACAAACAGATGAGTTTCAGTGGGCTTGCTGCTTTTTTGTGGATATGGAAGAAATACCTAAAAAAAAAAATTTCCAGCTCCACTACAATATTTAAGAAAAAACTTAGGTGTGTTCATAGTTTACTACTTTGCTTAATAACCCCACTGTTTATCACAGCAAATTTAATCACCTCTGAGGGGTTTTAATGGCTTTGATAAGACAAAGAGTAAATTACTGAGGAGGAAGACGGTCACTTTCACATCCTGAGAGATGCTAACTGTGCAAGGTAATTCACATATATCTTGTAAACATGTTTGCAAACATATATAGGAGATAGGTGGTATTCTCATTTTTTAAGGAAAGAAATGGAAGACATGAGAGAATGAGTAATATGTTTAAGAGGACACAGCTGGAAACTGGTATAATCTGGCTCTAAATACGGGCTTTTGTGTTACATTGAACAGAGATAAATTCAGCTTATGTTAAGGAAGCATGGGGTAAAAAGGTCAAGAAACTGAACAACTGAATAACCAAATAAGTAGGCGAAACCATTTGGTTACTCAGTTGTCTGACCAACCGAATAATCAAAACAAAAATGTCACATTAGAAAACTACGATCAGTGTAATTTTATGAATAATTGAACTATTGAGACCATAGTGTAGCAGCTGATCTATCACGTCATGGGATTCCATCATTCATTCTCATGAATTAACTACTCTCAGTCCTTGCTTTTAGCATTACCTCTACTCCCTAATGATACATGATTTTTACTCTAACATAAACTTCCCAGGAGAAAATGTCTGATAAATATCATAAAATCATGAAAATATCTGATAAAGTCATCATCCTGCATCATGTGTGGGAGACTTAAGTTTGTAACTCTTCCCATTCCTTTAAGTTGGTTTTCAGCCTTGCTTACACGATCATTGTGGCCAGAGAGACAGAATGTGCCAAGCGTGTAGGCCTGAGCTGGGAAACAATGTCAATAAGTAATACAGTATAGGGGATGAGAAGTTTGCCAAATAATACTTGGTGTGTAATGTTATGAAAGAAAGGGGGCATTAGAGGCCGGGTGGCTCACGCCTGTAATCCCAGCACTTCGGGAGGCTGAGGCGGGTGGATCACGAGGTCTAAGAGATCAAGACCATCCTGGCCAACATGGTGAAACCCCGTCTCTACTACAAATACAAAAAAAAATTAGCCGGGTGTGGTGGCAGGTGCCTGTAATCCCAGCTATTTGGGAGGCCGAGGCATGACAATCGCTTGAACCCAGGAGGCAGAGGTTGCAGTGAGCCGAGATCGCACCGTTGCGCTCCAGCCTGGGCAAAAAGAGTAGAACTCTGTCTCAAAGAAACAAAAAACAAAAAACGAAAACAAACAAAACAACATGGCGTGGGGGGCATCAGAAACACACAATGGTACAGATTTAAAAGCTCCTCGGGTGATGCTAATGTGTAGCCAGGGCTGAAAACCTAAAAGAAGAATGTGCAGTAATGTTGCCAGTACTGGAAGGAAGTGTCTGAGTTTTGTCTAGTGACTGACAGAAGGCTATGAAACTGTAACAGTTGTAAGGGGTTGAGGGAAAGCCGAGGCCAGATCATGTGGATCATGTGCAAATTGTAGGTAAAATGTAAAGCTGTGAGTTCTGTGGCCTCACTGAGGAAGCATTTCTCTGCTTTTCAGGAAGTAACTTGGAGTTGAGTGCTCTATGATTTCCAAGTTGTCAGCTAACACATTGAATAACTGATGAATTATGGTTCTGTGGCCTTCATTTCTGTGTCACGTGGCTATACTGTTCATTGGCATATGCAGGCAGTAACCCCCAAACTATGACGCGAGAGGATGGCAGGATTCCAGGTCTGAAGAGAAAAAATGATTAGGCTGGGGAAGAATGATTTGAGGAACCTCAAATCAGACTATGGCAGCAACTACTAGGTGTAGGGCTTCATGCCATCCAGCCTTGGAGTTGTCAGTTTTCTATTAATCTTTGCTAACAATAAAATACTAATGGGTACATAATGTAGTGATTTACAGATGATAGACTCTCCTTATGTTTTCATTTTGTCTCAACAGAGTCCAGCATATTTCATCCAAATTTTACTGATCAGAGAATTGAGGTACAGACAGACCATGAAGGTCATGACAGTTGGAAAGTGTTGGAGTAGAATAAGGAAGCCTGATTTTTCTCATTTGTCCTACATCGCTTTATTAGATTGTCTTCTCCAGCCTTACCTCCCCGCCTTATAATTCTTGATTTTCATGAAACCTATTAAAGGGAAAGAAAAGGAAAACTAGAAAATTTAATTTAGATCACTTTTAAAAATCACTTTGCATCTTGGACTGTTGTCATAAGTTATAGGATTAAATCCTAATGATTCTAATGTTGTTAGGCCATCTTAATTTATATGATCCACTTACCTCTCAGTCTTCTCTCACTGGCTCACTCACCTGCCCTCTGTATATGAGGGGATTGAGAAAAGTCTGTTTTTCATTATGTGTAGATACACAGACTGGTGTGTATGTAGCAGGAATAAATGTTCGCAAAACTCAGATGTGGAAGAAGTAACTCTGAATTTTTGCCCTATTTTTGAACTGTACTCCAGGCCAGTGCTGTCCAAAAGAAATATAAGCTATATATGTAATTTAAACTTTTTGAGTAGCCACTTTAAAAAGTGAAAATAAACAGGTGACATTAATGTTTTATTTAGCTAAAATATTTCAACATGTAATCAAAAAAGACTTAATGAGACATTTTACGTTAGTGAAAAGAATGTACTAAATCATTAAGGTTGGAGGATATTTTACATTTACAGCACATCTGAATTCAGTTGCCATATTTTCATGGGTTAAAGTAAACTTGTTCTCCCAAACCAATGAAGTTATGGTTAATGGAAGAATATTAAAAACTGTTTGTTTTCAATATAAATAAAATTGAAGCAAAAATAAAGCAAAATGAAAATTTGGCTTCCTCAGTTATGCTAGTCCCATTTCAAATGTTCAGTAGCCACATATAACTAGTGGCTATCTTACTGGACAACATAACCCCAGATCATGATAAAACGTTCTGATTTCCCGAATTTCTTTTTTTTAGACAATCTGGGATGTTTCGCCTTCTTACCAAAGAAACAAAAAGGTGCTGGTACTTTTTGTTTGCTTGTTTTTCAGCAGTTGCCATTGAAATGTGTTTCTTTTGGAGTTGGATAGGAAAAACCTAGATTCTTCCTCCAAGGTGTAGTCTCAACTGTGCCCCAGGCATCACTGTTTATGATGGATTAAGGGTGTGGCTTTTCCCAGATAATGAGTCCCCCTCCCCCACCCCCCACAGGCCTTAATATCTACAGCTCCTGTCAATAGACTGGCCTTTCCTTCCCCGCGAAAAGTTTGAGTCCTTTAAGAATCTAGGTCTAAGGTTAATTTCAACGAAAGGTTTATTTTCTCTTTCTGCGAGGACCTATGGAACTACCCAGAACATATAAAGCAGTCCACAAGGCTCTTCAACAGCTTCGTAACCGGGCACTGCTAGTTCAGAAACTCACTGACTTCTGAATGTCCATTTCACATTTGCAGGCTGCTTCTCTGAGTCCTGAGCTCTTGTCTCAAGATGACTTGGCTCTTAATTGTTGTCTGATTTATTACCGGTTTGCTTTGCAGTTTAGGTGCTGGACAATGATTCTTAGAAATCCCCACATAAGGATCTACATGCAGTGGCAGTGAATCTCAATAACTGCCTTTTCTTGAATCTGAACTTAATTTATATATAAAGCCTACTTTCCGGTAGATCCTGCATATTTCATCTCAGCCAATTTAGGACTGAGATGCCCCCCCTTTCTCTGGGGTTTTGTCTTAAATTTCTGGAGGGGACCTGATTGTCACGCCCCTCCGAGTGAAGAGACCACCAAACAGGCTTTGTGTGAGCAACAAGGCTGTTTATTTCACCTGGGTGCAGGTGGGCTGAGTCTGAAAAAGGAGTCAGCCAAGGGTGGTGGGATTATCATTAGTTCTTACAGGTTTTGGGATAGGCGGTGGAGTTAGGAGCGATGTTTTGCGAGCAGGGGGTGGATCTCACAAAGTACATTCTCAAGGGTGGGGAGAATGACAAAGAACCTTCTTAAGGGTGGGGGAGATTACAAAGTACATTGATCAGTTAGGGTGGGGCAGAAACAAATCACAATGGTGGAATGTCATCAGTTAAGGCTATTTTCACTCTTTTGTGGATCTTCAGTTGCTTCAGGCCATCTGGATGTATAAGGGCAGGTCACAGGGGATATGATGGCTTAGCTCAGAGTCCTGACACTGATACAGTGCCAGGATTTGAAGGCGGGTGTGGCTTACCTGATTTCATGTACAATTCATCCCATAGGGACCTTGTTCCTTGGCCTCAAGTTGTAGGCCCTTTCATATCTCTGTACGGTCAAGAAACATGGTGGTTCCCTTGTCATTCTTCATCCTCCAAAAACCCATTGAGCACTGTGTTTGCTGGAGGCAT